>NC_000001.11:54099289-54250804 GCF_000001405.40 Homo sapiens
TGTTATTTGTGGCTGTTTTCTCCTTGATGCATGTGCAGAATTTCCATGAACGCTAATGGAGCTATTCTGAGCATTTGCTGAAGGGAAGGAAGCTTGCAGACATCCCTCCCAATCTTGCCCACACACTGAGAAGTAACTCGGAGCTACAGTCTGTTAAAAATGAAAAGGTTGAGGCCGGGTGCATTGGTTCATGCCTATAATCCCAGCGCTTTGGGAGGTCGAGGCAGGCAGATCACCTGAGGTCAGGAGTTTGAAACCAGCCTGGCCAACATGGCGAAACCCTGTCTGTACTAAAAATACAAAAATTAGCCAGATATGATGGCAGGCGCCTGTAATCCCAGCTACTTGGAAGGCTGAGGTATGAGAATCGCTTGAACCTGGGAGATGGAGGCTGCAGTAAGCCAAGATTGTACCACTGCACTCCAGCCTGGGCAACAGAGTGAGACTCTGTCTCAAAAAAAAAAAAAAAAAGAGAAAAAGAAAAAAGTTGCCCCTGAAATGGGGTGAGAGTAGTTCCTGAGACCTCTGAGTTACCTGTAAGTCAAGGTGTGAATATGTCTTATAAGCAAGTTCAGTTGCTAGGGGAAATGTGGGAAAGTAAATACCATTTGTGTCTGCTCTAATAGCTTATTGATGCTTTTCTTGTAGTGGTTAATTTGGAGGTCCTGGTTGGGCATGGTAGCTCACACCTATAATCCCAGCACTTTGGGAGGCTGAGGCAGGCGGATCACTTGAGGTCAGGAGTTTGAGACCAACCTGGCCAACATGGTGAAACCTTGCCTGTACTAAAAATACAAAAATTAGCCAGATCTGGTGGCAGGCACCTGTAATCCCAGCACTCGATAAGCTGAGGCAGGAGAATTGCTTGAACCCGGGAGGCGGAGGTTGCAGTGAGCTGAGATGGCGCCATTGCACTCCAGCCTGGGCGACAGAGCAAGACTCACCTCAGTCTCAAAGATAAAATAAAATAAAAATAAATAAATAAAAATTGGAGGTCTTGGTCCTCTGTGTAGGGACTCAGTCTCTGTATTTTCATTCATTCATTCAACAAACAAATATTGCCCATCTTCTGTGTGCCAAGGACTAGACTGGCACTGGGGACACAGCAATAAAGGAGAGATAATTTCCTCTGAGTCTGGTGAGGCAGATAGACACATAACTAAATAAATAGAGTATAGCATATTGGGTGATAACTATAGACATGAAAATATTGAGAAGATGGGGAAAGGAATGAATAACACCACTCAGAGGAAGAATCTTCACAGAGGAGTTCATGTTTGAACCAAAGCCAGAAGGATAGGTAGGAGTTCTTAGCAGAGGGCTCAGTCTATGTGAAAGCACAGAAGCGTGAGGTGTATGGCTAGTTTCAGTAAAGGCAAATAATATGAGGTGGCTGAAGCATAAGGTTCTTAGGAATGGTAGTGAGAAATTGGGCAAAAAAAGTAACCAAGGCCTTGGAGGCCTTATCAACGAGTTTGGACTTTGGCCTTCAGATAATGGGATACCATGGGAAGTTTTTGAGGAGGTGAGGGACCTAATCAGATGTGTGTTTTAAAAAGATTTAAAAAACAAAAACAAAAACAGATATTTTAAGAAAATTTTAAACATTCAAAAGAAACCCAACAATTTAAGGCAAAGGAAAGAAACACTTGAGATTCAGTCAATTAGAGGTTTTTTTTTTTTGACAAATGAAGTTTAAAGTTGCCCAAACAGATATCATTAGAGAATCCCAGGTTTGAAAAATGGCAGGAGACCCAGATAATGCATTTACTGTGTTCTGTGGTGAAGGAACAGGTAGCTGGCCTTTTTCATTTATAGAATATCAGGTTCTTAAACTTGTGCCTGTCAACCTTGGTTTTCTTTTGCTGTAGCCTCAGGCCTCAGAACCTTACTCTGAGATTGGTAATGTGTTTTGAATGTGTTTATCACAGCCAGATGGGGCAAAGGCTCAGTTTGTTACTGCCCATTATTGCAAGGGAAGGGAGTCCATCCAGAAAACAAAGCTTTGGGAGTTTCAGTTAGTTGGGTGACACTACCCTGGTATCAAAGGAAAGATGGTTTGATTGGATGACATTGTATTTTCTTTAAATCAATCAAAATGATACAATTACTGTCAGGGATGGACTTACTCATAACCTGGGGAGGTTGGTTTCAAGATCCAAGAAGATCAAGACATCCAATCAAATGCTGGTTTTTAATGTTGATAAAATCATTCTTTCAATACATATTTGTTGAGTTCTTACGTGTCAGGTATTAGGGTCACAGGGATAGAGAAGACATAATCTTTGGCCTCAAGAAGCTTACAGTCTAGTGAAGACTGTAAACAGACAATAAACAGACAATTTTTACTATTTATTTTTATTTTGGGAGGGGGTCAGGGTCTCACTCTGTCGCCCAGGGTGCAGTACAGTGGTGCAATTACAGCTCACTGCAGCTTTGACCTCCCAGGTTCAAGCAAGCCTCCTACCTCAAGCCTCCCAAGTGTCTGGGACCATAGGTATGTGCCATCATACCTGGCTGATTTTTTATTAGCCAGATTGTCACCATGTTGATCAGGCTTGTCTTGGACTCCTGGCCTCAAGTGAGCCTCCTGCCTTGGCCTTCCAAAGTGTTGGGATTACAGGCATGAGTCACTTTGCCTTGCCCAGACCATTTTTGAAAACACAAATGGGCAGGGTGCAGTGAGATTTTTAGGGGCCAATGGTCTGGGATGTGGCAGGGACATTCTCTTGAAAGTAAAAGACAATTATTGCATCTCACTCCAACCATTAAGAAGGAAGCACAATGCCTGGGAGCCCTCTTTAGGTTTTGGAGACAGCATATCCCACACCTAGGAATATGCTCCATCCATGTACCGGATGACACAGAAAGTTGTGTTTTGATTGGGGCCCAGAGCAGGAAAGGGCTCAGCAGAAGCTCCAGGCTACAACACAAGTGGCCATGCGGTGTGGGACAGATGAGCTGGCAGAGCCCAAAGTACCCGAGGTATCTGTGGTGGGAACAGATGCCTGTGAAGTTTATGACAAGACCCTACAGGAGAATCACAATGTAGACACCTGGGGTTCTGGAGCAGGGCCATGCCATCTGTAGCCAAGAATTTTATACTTCTTAAGAAACAACTCTTGATGCTACAGGGTTCTGGTAGAGACAGATCATCAGACCATGGATCATCAAGTTGACCATGTGACCAAAGCTGTTCATCATGAGCTGGATTCTGCCATATCCACCAAGTCATAAGGTCAGGCAAAGCCAGCAGCAATTCCTAAGATAGAAATAATACAACTGGGGTTGGGCATAGCAGGGCCAGAGGGCAGAAGATAGTTACGTGAGCAGGTGGCCCAGACATCTATGTCATCCACTACCTTTGCACCAGTACCTGCCTGTTCCTCATTTCACACCTTTGGCTGCCTGGGGAGCTCTTTATAATATCCAGCTGATAGAAGAGAAAAAAAGCCATGCCTTATCCTTAGATAGGTCAGCTCAGTGTGTGTGAGCAAGACAAAAAAAGACCGTGGCTGCACTGCAGCCCCACACAGGGGCATCCTTGAAAGACAGCAGAGTGGGGAGTCCTTCTAGTGGGCATAGGTTGTGCATCATGCACCTAGCCATCCACTGTATGTGGAAAGAGAAGGAGCCTGAGCTTAGACTATACATGGATCTCATGGGCAGTGGTGAATGGCTTGGCTGGTTGGTAAGGGGTCTGAAAGGAATAAGATTGGAAAATTGGAAACAAGGAGACCTGTGGTGGAGGCATGTAGTTGGACCTATAGGAGTGGGCACCAAGTGTGAAGATCATTGTATTCCATGTAAACACCCACCAGAGAGCACATACCATGGAGAAGCACTAAACAACAATGTACACACAGTTGACATCAACCAGTCTCTGAGGCCACCCCAGAGCTGACACAATGGGTGTATAAACAGCAACCATGGTGGTGTAGTAGTCCATTTTCACACTGCTATAAAGATACTACCTGAGACTGGGTAATTTAAGAAGGAAAGAGGTTTCATTGACTCAAATTTCTACATGGCTGGGGAGGCCTCAGGAAACTTACAATCATGGCAGAAGGCAAGGGGAAGCAGGCATCTTCTTCACAAGACAGCAGGGGAGAGAGAGAGTGCAAAGGGGGAACTGCCAAACACTTTGAAACCATCGGATCTCTTGAGAAGTCACTCACTATCATGACAACAGCATGGGGGAAACCGGCTCCGTGATCCAATCACTTCCCACCATGTCCCTCCCTCAACACGTGGGGATTATAATTCGAGTTAAGATTTGTGTGGAGACACAGAGCCAAACCATATCAGATGGTATGGCATGGCTCCCACTCACCAAGACTGATCTAGCTATTGCTGCTGCTGAGTGTTCGGCCTGCCAGTAACAGAGACCAACTCTGAACCTAGATATAGCTCCATCCCTTGAGAACAACCAGCAGCCACTTGGGAAGTTGGCTATATTAAACCCTGTCTACCCTGGAAAGAGCTGTGATTCATTTTCACTGGCATAGATGTATATTCCAGATACGAGTTCATCTTCACTGCTTGTAGAGCTTCATCCAGCACAACTCTCAAAGGGCTTATAGAATGTTTAATCTACTGGGATAGATTATGGGATCTATAGATTATGGGATAGTCATACAGGATCCCATATGATTCCACAGCAAAGGAGGTGCAGCAGTGGGCACATGGTGACAGGGTCCACTTGTCCTTTCATCTACTGCGCTATCCTGAAGCTGCCAGCTTGCAACTGTGTCGAAGGCACAGCTGGGGCACCAGCTCAGAAACCCTGAGAGAAGAGCTGCCATCCTCCAGGGTGCAGCACATGTTCGAAATCAAAGACCGTTACGTGATGCTTTGTCTCCAATAGGTAGAATACATGAGTCCAGGAACCAAGAAATGAAAGCAGGAGTGCTCTCACTCTTACCATCACTTCTAGTGACCCACTTGGAGTGCCTCCTGTTCTCATAGTTCTGGGCTCTGCAGGTTTAGAGGTTTTGAGTCACAAAGGAGGAACACTTCCACTAAAAGAAACATCAAGATTACTATGAACTATTAGCTGTGACTGCACCCGGGCACTTGAGCTCCTCATATCAGGAGACTACTAGGCAAGAACAGTCACCATTCTTTGAGGGATAATTAATCCTGATCATCAGGAGGAGGTACAGCTGCTGTTAAGCAATGGAGGGAAGGGAGGTATATCTTTGGTACTCAGTTGATTCACGTGGAGACTTCTTGGTATTCCTTTGCCCAATTTTTTTTTCTTTTTCTTTTTCAGAGGTGGAGTCTCTGTCACCCAGGCTGGAGTGCAGTGGCACCATCTCGGCTCACTGCAACCTCTGCCTCCTGGGTTCAAGCTATTCTCCTGCCTCAGCCTCCCGAGTAACTGGGATTACAGGCATGTGCCACCATGCCCAGCTGATTTTTGTATTTTTAGTAGAGATGGAGTTTCGCCATGTTGGCCAGACTAGTTTTGAACTTCTGGCCTCAAGCAGTCCACCTGCCTCAGCTTCCCAAAGTGCTGGGATTACAGGCGTGAGCCACTGCGCCTGGCCCCTTGCCCAATATTTATAAAATAATTATACAAGTGCCCAGACCGTGACCTGAGCAGGATATGCTGACTTCAGGCTCAGCCCCCTCAGGGCTGAGGGTCTAAATCATGCCTCCGTGGAAGTGACGGAGACCGGAACACGTGCTGGCTGAGGGTAAGGAGGATCTAGAATGGATAGTAGAAGAGGGAGATGATGAGTATCAGTTGTGGCCTCAAGACCAGTCAGTGATGGAGGTTGTAGTTTGTCCAACTTACTTTCCTAAGTTTCCCCCAGGAAAGGAGGTCCACCAGAACTTAAACCAAAAAGTAGAGCTGAGCAGCACAAATGTGGGCTGTAGTGGACACCATCCTGTGCTGCCCAGACCCCCCAGCCACCATGCTTCCTGGGCCTCTTCCCACAGCTACTGGGAGTGCTCTCAGCCAGCAGCCTTCAGCTGTCAGCCCCCTGGGAATTTTCCTCAATGGAAGAGTTACCTCACTGACATACCCCTTTCCCAGGCAGGTCAGTTCAAGGTTATGAAGGCCTGGCCCCACTGCCTCAACTTGACAACTTGGAAGGGCCATCTCAGCTTCAAGACCCTCCCATGAGACTGGCTGAGGTCTTCATACAGCATCGGAGCCCAATTTATCTCTCTGAGCAATCCTGCTTCCTTTCCTGCCCCCTTCCCAAGAGCAATCCCTGATAAACTTCCCGCATGCTAATCTCCATCTCAGAGTCTACTTTCCAAGGAAGTGGGCCTATAACATAGCTCTTCCAGTTTTTGTTAACAATTCTAGAACAGGGGTCAGCAAACTTTTTTTTTTTTTCGAGACGGAGTCTCACTCCGTCACCAGGCTGGAGTGCAGTGGCGCGATCTTGGCTCACTGCAACCTCTGCCTCCCGGGTTCAAGCGATTCTCCTGCCTCAGCCTCCCGAGTAGCTGGGACTACCATGCCACCACACCCAGCTAATTTTTTTATTTTTAGAGAGATTGGGTTTCACCATGTTGGCCAGGATGGTCTTGATCTCTTGACCTCGTGATCCGCGCTCCTCGGCCTCCCAAAGTGCTGGGATTATAGACATGAATCACCACACCCGGCCAGCAAACTTTTTTAAAGGAACAGATAGTAAATATTTTAAGCTTTGTGAGCCACATGGTCTCTGTCACAACTATTCAGCTCTGCTATTGTAATACAAAAGCAGCTGTGGACAGTATGTAAATGAATGAATGTGGCTGTGTTCCAATAAAACTTTATTTACAAAAACAGGTGGTGGGCTGCATTTGGTTCATGGGCCTTAGCATGCCAAAACATGCTCTAGAGAAATACTTTTACATATGTGCAAAGGAGGCATGTACAAAGATTTTAATTGCAACATGGTTTGTAACAGCAAAATTTTAGAAATGGTCTAAATGCACATTTAAAAAAGAATGGTTAAATTGTACATCCAGATTTTGGAATACCGTGCAGTGGATAAAAAGAATGAGTTTAGGTTTGTATAACAGCACTATCTAATAGAAATATAACACAAACCACATATGTATTTTTTAATTTTCCAGTAGCCACATAAAAAATATAAAAGGAAACAAATTAATTTTAATAATATATTTTGAGTCCAATATGCCCCAAATATTATTACTTTGACATGTGATCAATGTAAAAATTACTGAGACATTTTACATTTTTTGTACTAAGCCTCTGAAATGTGGTATGTATTTTACTCTTACAGTGCATCTCAGTTTGGGCTAATTACCTTTTCAAGTGCTTATAGCCTCATGTGGCTAGTGGCTACTGTGTTGGACCACGCAAATTTATAAGTACTGACATGGGAACATCACTGAGACATATTGTTAAGTGAAAAAAGGAAGCTGCAGTACCATATGTACACTATGAACTATTTATGTAAGGGAAAAAAACTATTTCCATAGAAACATATTGAGAAAAAGAAAAAAAAAAGATGTGTACAGATATATACCCAATTTAGAGAGACGTTTTGGATGGGGTGAGGGGTTTTTGGTCAGGAGGGACTCACTCCCCTTGCCTGATTTTTTTAAATAAACTTTTTATTTCGGAGTTATTTTAGATACACAAAAAGTGGCAAAAATACAGAGAGTTCATGTATGCCCCTCACCCAGTTTCCACCATTGTTAACTTCTTACAATAGTGTGGTACATCTGTCAAAATTAAAAGTCCACTGTTGGTATACTACTATTACTAAACTCCAGACTTCACTCAGACTTTGCCAGTCTTCCCACCGATGTCCTCTTTCTGTTTCAGGATTCAGTCCAGGACCCCAGGCTGCACTCAGTCATCCTGTCTATCCTGTCTCCTCTGTTCTGTGACAGTTTCTCAGGCTTCCCTTGTTCCCCATAACCTTGACAGTCTTGAGCAGTACTGGCCAGGTGTTTCGTAGACTGTCCCTCAATTTGGGTTTGTCTGAGGATTTCTTCATGACTAAGTTGGAATTCAGGGTTTTGGGGAAGAATACCACTGAGATGAAGTGCCTGTCTCATCACTTCACAGCAGGGGGCACATGGCTTCCACAGGACTATTGACTGGTGATGCTAGCCCTGAGTGCTTGGTTACGTTAGTTTTTGCCAGATTTTCCCACTATGAAGTTGTCATTTTTCCCTTTCCATATTTTGTTTTTGGAGGCAAGTCACCAAATCTAACCCTCACTCAAAGGTTAGGGGGCTGGGGGTGGATTAAACTCCACCTCCTGGAGAGTGGAGTATCTACCTATATAATTTGGAAGGCTTCTTTAAGGAAGATTTGTCCCTTCTCTGCCATTTAATTTTTTTGATAATTTATTTATTAATATATCAATATGGACTCATTTATTTTATGCGTTGGGTTGTAATCAGATGTTTTTTCATAGTGATCATAAATTCATATAATGTATTTTTAAATGCAGAAAACATACACAACCACGTTGTGTGAGAAACAAGCTCTTATGATTGGCAAGGATTTTTCCTCCACAGCTTTTCATGTCTGCCTTTGAGTAGGATAATCATTAGCGTATTGCTATTCAACCATAGACATGCTATTTCAACTCTCCAGACCTCAATTTCCCCATCTAAGTAAGAGAATATTTTGTGAAATGGTCTCAGAGGTGAAGAAGGGGATGGTATTTGTATGTTTGTAAGTGTCCACATATTTTGTTGCCTATTAATAGACCCTTAGTCCTTAATGGTTATCTTCTTTTATTTATGTTGGAAAATGAACTCAGAGCTAATAGCCCTTGAGAACATCCTGTAAACATAATCAATATTTATATCCCCCATTACAACCCCAAAGGGTTCGCCTTCCTTGCTCTTTCACCCCTTTAAGTGGGATTAAGTTTTCCTTTTATTCCTCAGCTTTTTCTCCAGCGGCTGAAGGCTAACCTGAGGCCTAGCATTCCCAGTCCTGCTGACTTCTTTGGCCTGATTCTTGTGCCTCTCATCTAGCTATGCATAGCCACACGGATGTCCTTATCACCCTGCATCATCCCCAAATTCGTATGTTGAAGTCCTCACCCCCAGTACCCCAGAATGTGACTGTATTTGGAGATAGGGCCTTTACAAAGCTAATTAAGGTAACATGAGATCATATGGGTGAGCCCTAATCCAGTATGACTGGTGTCCTTATAAGAAGAGATTAGGATGCAGACAGCACACAGACCATGTGAGGACCAGCAAGAATGTGGCCACCTACAAGCCAAGGAGAGAGGCCTCAGAAGAAACCAAACCCACTGACACCTTGATCTTGGACATCTAGTCTCCAGAACTGCGACAAAATAAATCTGTTGTTTAAGCCATCCAGTCTGTGGTACTTTGTTATGGCAGCCCTAGTAGAAGCTAATACACACAACCATGAATGAAAATGCTTCTTGAGCCGGGCGTGGTGGCTCATGCCTGTAATCCCAGCACTTTGGGAGGCCGAGGCGGGCGGATCATGAGGTCAGGAGATTGGGACCATCCTGGCTAACACAGTGAAACCCCATCTCTACTAAAAATACAAAAAATTAGCCGGGCATGGTGGTGGGCGCCTGTAGTCCCAGCTACTCGGGAGGCTGAGGCAGGAGAATGGTGTGAACCCGGGTGGCGGGGCTTGCAGTGAGCCGAGATCGCACCACTGCGCTCCAGCCTGGGTGACAAAGCAAGACTCCGTCCCAAAAAAAAAAGAAAATGCTTCCTGAATACCTGCCTCCTCTATGCCAGGCCCGGTGACAGGTCCCAGGCCGCAGAGATGAACCAGACGGGGGCTCACAGTCCAATAAGGAGCCAAGTCATCCATCTATTGCAATCTGACATACTAGGGGCTGAGTGGGAGCACAGTGGAGGGACCACTGAACTGTGCCTGTAGAGGGGCCTGGCCCGGAGGGTATCAGGAAAGGTTTAGCAGAAATGCTGACTTGTGAGCTGGGTTTGAGAGTTTTAGAGGAGTTTCCCAGGTAGGGAGTGGCATTCCAGGTACAAGGAAAGGTATGTGCAAACGTGGAAGCTAGAAGGATGTCAAAGAACAGGAGTAAGTGTGACGTGGATGGAGCCAAAGTGCAGCAGGAGGAGGAATAGCATGAAGTGAGCCTGGAGAAGGAGGTAGAGGCCAGTATGTGGGTGGCCTGAGTGCTGGGCTGGGAATTTTTACTTGGAGAACTTTAAAGGTTTTCAGGTGAGGAAACTCCTAAGTAAAATTATGGTTACATGTATCAGGGGCTTACTACGTAGGTAACTATTTGTTAACCAGCAAATATGGAGCACCTATAGCACATCAGGCATTTCGTTATCTGTTTCCCTCTCCACCTGAATGTGAACTTCTCCAGGGAAGGGACTGTCTGATTTATTTCTGTGTCCCCAGCAGAGTCTGGTACAGATCAGGGGCTCTATACACATGCACTGACTGAGTAAATAATAGCCCAGGCAGGAGGCCAAGCCCTCCCTCAGCCATGGGTTTTCATGGTTCTGAAGTTGGTGCTGGGTCAGTAAATCTCTATATGTGCAAGAGCCCCGTCCCCTCCTGCCTGATGTAGACAGCAAGGCTCCCAAAGAAGCACTAAGGGTTGGATTACTTCAGAGCCAGAAAATACATAGCCTGTGGCAGGTTTACCTCTGAGATAAGCAGCCCACATGGCATGGAGATGACTTGAGGCCAGCTCATAAGGGAGAAGCATCCAGCATTGCCACAGGGGCCTCCAGACCAGGACTTAAGCAGATCAAATAGGGGAGGCTGTGTGTTAGAGGGGAATCAAAATCATCAAAATCATCAAAGCCCCAACCACCAGGTAGTGAACTCCTGTACAGGCTAGAGACTGTGCTGGGTACTCTGCAGTTTGCCTTAGTCTCCCAAATGTGACCCCACCCCTTAATCTTCTCTCCATCACCTTATGCCTGACCCTCTTACCCAGTCTTCTTGGGAGCCCCTTGTCCCTTCTCTAATCAATTCTACACTCAGCAGCCAGAGTGAATGTCTAGAATATACTGCAGGTCATGTCACTCCCCTGCTCAAAACCCTTCAATGGGTCTGGGTGTGGTGGCTCATGCCTGTTATCCCAGCACTTTAGGAAGCCGAGGTGGGAGGATCGCTTGAGCCCAGGAGTTTGAGACCAGCCTGGGCAGCATAGTGAGATCTCTTTATCTCTTTACAAAAGAAAAAAAAAATAGCCAGATGTGGTGGCATGCACCTGTGGTCCCAGCTACTTGGGAGGCTGAAGTGGGAGGATTGCCTGAGTCTGGGAAGTTGAGGCTACAGTGAGCCGTAATTGCGCCACTGCACTCCAGCCTGGGCAACAGAGCATAACCTTGTCTCAAACAAAACAAAACAAAACAAAACAAAAAAACAACACAACCTTCCAATGTCTCCGATCACCCTAAGAATAAAACAAAAGTCCTTACAGTGGCCTACAAGGTCCTCCGTGTCCTGGCCTCTGGCACCATCTCCATCTTTGTCCTACCCCTGGCTCCAGCCTCTCTGGTCTTCTGTCCCTCAAACTTCCTGACTATACCCCTTCCTTGGGGCAGCTGCATGCACTCTTCCCTCTGCCCAGCATGCCCTGATTGCCCCGAGGTGACTTCTTGTCCTTCAGTTCTTACCTCCTCAGAGAGGCCTACCCTGGCCACCCTCTCTAATTAGGCCCACACCCCCAAGTCACTCTCTGACACATCAGTGTTGTTTTTCTTCATAGGACTTAAAACGATCAGAAGTTACCATATGCACTTCTTTATTCCCTTGCTAATTTTTTTGCTTCTCCCACCAGAGCTCTTCCTGGGAGCAGCGACCTTGTCCGTCTCTCCTTCACTGGACCTCCAGTCCTTGGCATAGGGCTTGGCCCCATGCAGGGCTCCATGCATATGTGCTCATGAATGGATGGCACCGCCCCCGTGCCTCCAGGCTGGCCTCTGATAGTCCACGCAGCCGAGCAGACAGTCTGGGCTCCATGGGAAGAGCTAATCCCAAGCGTGTGGACCGACAGATGGTGTGGAACCCAGAGCGGAGGCGCAGCTTTTATTAGTTTGAGTTGCTTTTGCTTGGAATAGGATTAGCATAAGTACCATCCCAGGCAAGTGGATAAGGTAAAGCTGTGTTAGTTACATTCAGATTTTGTTTCTCGGCCACAATCCTGGGCCAAACTTCTGCTGGGTCAGTCCAATTCATGCCTAAGGGTACTACTCAGGAAGGTCAACTGGAGTGGCCAGTCCCCTCTCCACATTGACCTCTAGAGTGGCCTGTCCAACTCCTAAGTCCAACCTTCCCACACCGGGCAGAAAGCTTTTTACTGGCCCCGTTGCTCCCGGGTGAGGCCTAAACACTTGATGATGATGAAGATGAAGATGTGATGATGGTAGCCATCACACAGCTCTCCCATGTAACCCTCACGACAACCCTGCAAGGCAGATAGTATCACCATCCTCATTTGGCAAATGAAAAGCTGATGGCTCAGAGAAGTTAAATGACTTGCCCAAGGTGACTGAGCCAGTAGGCCACAGACAGGCTCCAAATCCCAGTCTGGACCGATTGGATGGGCATTCCTGGGTGGGCCGGCCTCCCTCTCTGGCAAGGCTGTCATGCTCCCCCAGTGCCCTGGCTTCAGCTTTGGCTGGATCAGTAAAGAGCCAAGTCAAAGATCAAGTCAGGGAAACTCATGTTTTGTGGCTAAGAAGTATTGCTACCCTTAATCTCTTCACTTTCTCTTCAGCTCCATGAAGGAGCATTTAACTTTTGGAAGGAGTCATTTTCCACAAAGAAACAGTTCTTAAAAATCACTGTGGGTTGGGCTCACTGGCTCACACCTGTATTCCCAGCACTTCAGGAGGCCAAGATGCAGATCACTCGAGCTTAAGAGTTCAAGACCAGCCCGGGTAACGTGGCAAAACCCCAATTCTACAAAACAACAACAACAACAACAACAACAACAACAACAAATAGCCAGGCATGGTGGCGTGCACCTGTAGTCCCAGCCACTAGGGAGGCTGAGGCGGGAGGATCACTTGAGCCGGGAGGTTGAGGCTGCAGTGAGCTAGGATGGTGCCACTACACTCCAGCCTGGGCGACAGAGACCCTGTCTCAAACAACAACAAAATCACTGTGTAATAATGTGTATAATAACAATAAAAGCTAACATTTATGGAGTATTTATTAACTGCCAAGACTATGCTCAGTGCTTTTCATGCATTATCTCATTGTTTGAAATTTCAATAATTTACGTGAATAAAGGAATTCTGCATATGTGATTTTTTTTTAAATAAGAGATTACAAAAAGGCGAAGAGAGAAAAGTAAGTCTCCCTGCCTCCTCTGCACTCCCATGTCCCTCTTCCCCTTCCCACAGACCACGCTGTGACCAGTTCCTTTTATCCTGCAGAGAGAGTCCATGAATGACCCTCGACAGTGCTTTGAGGTATTATTATTCTGGAGTTACATATTAGGAAACTGAGGTTCTGAGACAGGAAGTCACTTTCCCAAGGTCACACCACTTCAGGGCAAAGCTGGGAGTTCACCCCAGATGTGCTGACTGAAGCCCATGTGTTGAGGGTCACCCTGCCTCCCACAAAGAGGAGAGAACCAGAAAGCTGAGCTGAGAAGTGTGTGCTGGGCAGCCAGCTGGACTTGCTCACAAATAGGCTTTGGCTGCATACACTGGTCTTGAAGAATTCAAATTTGGTCCTCAGCAAACTGACAAATTATAAGCTGTTGCAGACCATGTAGGTTATTGACAAAGAGTCAAAGCTGCAAATACTACAATCCTGAATCCTACCAGTCATCGTTCTTGCTGTTTCCTGCTTCCTTGTGCCTCTACGTCCTTGGCTGGTCATTCGCAGGCGTCAGCTCAGACAAGCTGCTCAGTATAAAGAAGGTCATGGGAAGCAGAGGAGGCAGTGCACAGCTCTGCAGCTCTAACACCCGGGCTAGGCCTCAGCTCTGCCCTCTGCATGGCTGGGGCAGTCCTGTCCCTCTCCAAGCCTCAATGTCTTCACTTGGGAAATGGGAATCATTCTATCTAATCAAAAGGTTTAGAGATCCTCAAGTGAGGTAATGAAACCCAAATGATGGTAATTAGCAAAACTCCATGCAAATGTAATGTAATTTTTTTTTTTTTTTTTGAGACGGAGTCTCGCTGTGTCACCCAGGCTGGAGTGCAGTGGCGTGATCTTGGCTCACTGCAACCTCTGCCTCCTGAGTTCAAGCAATTCTCTGCCTCAGCCTCCCGAGTAGCTGGGATTACAGGCACCTGCCACCACACCCAGCTAATTTTTGTGTTTTTAGAAGAGACAGGTTATCACCATCTTGGCCAGGCTGGTCTTGAACTCCTGACCTCCTGATCCACCCACCTCAATCTCCCAAAGTGCTGGGATTACAGGTGTGAGCCACCGTGCCCAGCTGCAAATGTAAAATTTTAATAACAATAAAGGAAAGTTGGAATAAACCTAGTAGCCTCTATGTGAAATAGGCTGGCTTACCTCACACCTGCTATCTGCTCACTTCCTTCCATTCCACCCACCAACCTGCATTTGTAAAATCGTTTACAGTTTACAAAATCCTTTTCATCCTGTTTCATTAGTCCTTGTCCAAGCCCTATGAGGCAGGAGGTTCCAAAGATGCCTTATCCTGATGTCCCACATTGCCTTCTCTCTGGTCATGACTGCCCAGGGGCAGCAGGGGCTGAGGCTGGGCCCCCAAAGAGGGAACTCAGGTTCTTTGACTCCTAGTCCTCTCCTCTCTCGACCTGAGCAATCTCAACAGAGACGTGCATGTGATAATCACTCCCAGTTGACAGATCAGGAAACCGAGGCTCCAAAAGAAGTGACTTGCCCAAGGTCACAGAGCTGGTGAGAGGTGGTGTGGTCCTCACACCTGGCCGTATCACTGCCCTGCTTAACACCTGCAGTGGCTGCCCTGGCCCACTGGCTAGAAGTCATGCCACTGAGCTTGGCTCTTGAGGCTTGCAGTGATCTGGCCCTCACCTCCCTCCCCAGATTAATCTCTCAGTGCCCTTTCTACACCTCTACCTTTCCAACTGTGTCATCATTCCCCAAATGTGCAATGACTTCTTAACCCCTTGTCTTTGCACCTGATGTTCCCTCTGCCAGGCTGCCTGTGGTCTCCTGCCCATCCTTGATTAATCCCTCCTATGCTCCCTTGCCAGGTACCTGACAGAATGAGCTTTCCTTGTTGCCATCATTACTGTACTGATCATTTCGCAGAGTGGATCAGACCCTAGGCTTTGGAGCTAAAACTGCTTGGGTTGAAGGCCTGGCTCAGCCACTTATTAGCTGAGTGATCCTGGATAAGTTCGTCAACATCTCTGTGCTGTGGGCATGTTTTCTCAGTTGTGTTATGAAGGTCCCTCCTGGGATTGTTGCAAAGAATAAATAATACATATAGAACAGTGAGCACAGGGCCTGGCACAGCATAAGCACTCAATATATGCTACCTCTTATTATTTTCTATTATTTGTATTTGGTGATGCCTACCATCTACCCGTCCCTGTGCTGGGCATGCCTAGCTGACCCAGATGCAGTCTCTGGCTTCAGTCCCCAGGGGAGAAGAGAGGCAGGTAAATATCCCATGATAATGCATTTATTCTGACCAAGCCACTGTTTTGTTTAAATCATCCCCCATCTGCGTCATGAGCTCTAAAGAGCAAACAGCATTCTGCAACCACTTCTTCCTCACCAGACATGGACTGGGTCCTCATGTCCCCACCCCACTGCGTGTCTCATCCATGGGGAATAGTTTTGTGAGCTCCCCTTCTCTCCATGTTAACCCCAGAGTCAGGCTGTTCCCAGAGTGCAAGGGAAGACTCAGCTGCAGCACAATTTATCTCCCTGGGCTGCTCCCTCAGCTGAGATTTACGGGCTGTGCCTGTCACGGTGACCCTGCAGGCTCAATTACAGATCTGCTTCTAGGCTAGACTGGGGCAGGAACCTGCTTAGATTTGCCAAGTGGCCCCGAGGGAGAGCCACAGGCCCTGTCAAACATGGGACCTCCGAGGGCATGGGGACCATTTAGCTGCCTCGCTTGTCACACACAAGGAAACTGAGGCTAGACACAGGAAGACACATTCAAAGCTCCCACCAGTGAAAATGGGCCCAGCATGAAGTCTAACCTGGGCCCCTGAGTGCCATTAAGGGAGCTTATTTTACTATACGTGAGTATATGACTTCATTATTACTCAAATCGTTTTCTTTTTATGTAACAAAAATATTTACTATGGAAACATGCTTTGAAACTTAAACCAAAAGCAAAATATTGCACTTCCATAAACAAAGACCCTATTCTGTCCCCACAAGCACATTAGAAATGTATTAGATGAAACTTAAACATTGCCTGGCTTCACTGGCTGGTGGTTACAAAATGGAGTCCCATTTTTGCCAAAAGAGTCGATGACCCTGAGCTCCACTTCTACATAAGCAGAAACTTATCCTTCTCAGAAGCTCCCCTAGTTATTCCTGGGAGTCCCCAAGAATAGCCACAAGGTAGCCTGTCAATTGTGGTCACCGTATTTGCCGGTCCTTCCTCTCCAACTCTGGCTCCTTCCTCATCAATATCCTCAGTTAGTGAGGCCTTTGGAAGGAGTCCCATTGCTGCTGCTGTTAATGGTGCCTGCAATGAGGACAGTGTCAGGGGCAAAGATTCCTTATCCTGGTGCCCCATACTGCCTTCTCTCTGGTCATGACTGCCCAGGGGCAGCAGGGGCTAGGCCTGAGCCCCCAAAGAGGGAACCCAGGTTCCTTAACTCCCAGTCCTACAAAGTGCAGAGTGGAGTCTGACTTACCTGCCTCCCCGCCTTGTGGATTACAACTTATCAGTTGAGAGTCCTTGGTCAGGCCACCTCTCCTCTCTGAACCTGAACAATCTCAACAGTGACATGCAGGTGATAATACCCACTTGGAACAGTCGTCTTGAAGATCGAATGAGGTCATAGATACACAATGCCTGGCACATAGTAGGTGTTCACTGAATGAACCACTGTTACCATTATTATTATTCTGTCTGAGGCTGAGTTTCTCCAGAAATAGACTCTAAAACATTGATTTGAGACAAGTGGTTTATTTGAGAGGTGAGTCAGAGGAGGTGTTGGAACACCTAAAGAGGTGTTGGAACGTGAAACAGGGAGGAAAAGAAGCCAACAAAGGGTGTGTTATCAAGCTGATTTTCCCTGTAACCAGCCAGGGCTCAATTCCACTGAGGATTCCTGGATAATAGGGTACAACAAGCCTTACAGTTATCCCTATCAAGGGGCAAGGGAGGTGGGGTATCTATCCACCAAGAATTGTCTGGGATTTGCTGCAGGAGAACGGATATTAGCTCGCTGACAACTTTCCTGCATGCATGCAGGCCAGGCCCGGTGGGCTCCGAGGCCAGAGAAAGTCCTCAGGCAGAGTCACAAGGGCTGGCCCTTAGAGGCTGTCAGGTCGACATGCACAGAAATGGTGAGCATCAAGGAACACAGGCAGGACACTTTCAGTATCTGCTACAAATGCCATGTAGGGTCACTTCCTCTGAAAGACAAGACACTGAAATCTCTTTCAGGCTAGGGGAGCACAGGAGGAAGGCTACCTGGGGCCTAGTTCCAGCTGCCATCTTCTAATTGGACTGTGACCTTATTCTGCGCCATCTCTGGTCCTCAGTTTCCTCTCCTGTCAAATGGGGAGTTCAAAGCAGATGGATCTTGAGGTCCCAACCAACTCTCAGGAGTTCCTGAATTCATCTGGCTTTTTGGTTTGAGCCTCACAGCACCCCTTGGGGAGAGGTAGGAGGAGCCAGTGTGATTCTACCTGTTGAGAGGGGAACTTCCCTTCAGACTCAGAAGGAAAGTGACTAGGCCAGTGATTCTCAATGTGGATTCCCTCCACCTGCAGCCTTCCATCACCTGGGCACTTGTTAGAAAATGAAAATTCTTGGGCCCCACTTTAGACCTATTAAATCAGAAACGCTGGGGCTGGGACCAGCAATCGACAACCCCCCTTTAACAAAGTCCTCAGGGAGTTCTGACCCTGGGCATGCTCAGGTTTGAGGCCAAGGTCAGACAGTGAGCTAAAGGCAAAGCTGGAACTGGAACCTAAGTCTTCTTTCTCCCAGGCGTCCTTTGAACCACCTGCACACAGGGCCCAACCTGGGCTTCGGTGCTCACTAGGAGCACTCAGTGTCTCTCAGCTCTTCCCAGATGCCTTCCTTTCCCACTCCCATCTGATGTGCCTGGGGCTTATTACAAATCTCAGCTTGGGGAGAGGAAAAGAAAACTAATTTTGAAGTCCTAGAAACTCTGGCAGAGCAGCTGGGAGCTTCTAGTTATCCCTTCTGCATACACCTACTTCCCAGGGCCACTGAAAAACGGGGGCGTCTAGCAGAGTTTCCCAAGGTCAAACAAAGCTCTTTCTTCTGCAGAGAGCCTTGGTCACAGCATCAAGTAAGGGCAGGGTTGGGTAGGTTTGGGGTGAGGTCTGGGGGTGGGGTGGGCGGTGGAGGGGTGGAATGCAGCTAGTGAAGAATGCAGTAGAGTCCCTACAGATCCTCCAACAGTGGCAGTTGAAATGCCTGAGAGGGGAGAGGACTTAGCCAAGGTCACTCAGCCAGATCTGGGCCTCCTGACCACCGCCCAGCTGCCCAGAGGAGGCCTTTTGGCTCACTCTCTCCTCTCCAAGCTCTCCTGCAAGGGCTCTTGGGATTACCATGTCTTTGCACCATTCTGCAAATCTGACTCCATGCTCACTGGGCATCATGCTTCCTGGTCTGTGCTAGGTCTAGGCTGGGCACTGGGGATGCAGAAGTGTGAGTCAGCCACGGTGACTCAAGGAATCACCGAGACACCTGCAGAAATATTCCTTGGGCAGCGGGTTGGTACCATCACACACTCCTAGCCTCCAACCGCACTTACTTCTTCCACTGACTCTGGTTGGCTCACCCATTCCTGGGCCTCTCAGGAGCAGTTAAGGGGCTCTTCCCTTGCCTAAGCCCTCCAACTGCACCCTCACCTCCTATACTCACAGATGGCCTTGCCGCCCATGCCACAAACAATATAAGCATCTCATAGCAGCTCCCTCCCCCTCCCCCTGCAGGAACACGAGCTGCACTGTCGTGTTCTCAGAGGCTGTGCTGTCCTGTCACTGCCCGCCCCTCCCCTTGTGCTCCAGCCCCTGCCTCCCACTCTGTAACAGGCCTTGCTCTACTTCAATGTCCACCTCTCGCCCCCTTCCTTAGCTTTTCCCGTCAGTATTTAAATGCACTTAAAGCCTTTCCATCCTCAACAAACAAAACCAAACAGACAGAAACCAGGGTCACCATCCACTAAATCAGCCCCCTCCACCCTCACCGGTGCTCCAGCTCCTCCTCGCCTCTCTCCTGCTTGAGAAAGGCCACACTTCTCCAGGGAGCCACGACTCTCACTCTCTTAGCTCCTCTCCTCAACTCCTCCTCGGCCCTATCTTCACTTGCCCGGGTCACAGTGCTGTCCTCATTCCTAATTATGAATCAAGGCTGTGGGTCCCTTCCCAGACTGGCGGCTGCCACATCACCACTACCCTCCTAGATCTCAGGCTGTTGTGGGCTCCTCTCCATTCATCCAGCTATTATTTAAGTAGCTATTTTTCTGTGTCGGTCACTGGGCTTGAGTCTAGTGACTCAGTGATGAGCAAGAGGATCAGGATCTGCCTTCCAGAGTGCAAGGACAAGGGGATCCTCGGAGGTCCTGCTCTAATGCCCCTCCTCTCCCCGCAACACACACCCTCTCCTGATCATCTCAGCTACACGCTGATGACTGTCAGAGCCTAGCTTCTGCCCCGACTTTCCCCCAAGCTCCACATCCACACCTCTAACTACTTGGGGGACAATTCCACCTGCATGGTCCACAGGCAACTCAGACTTGCAAGGTCCAAACCAAACGAGTTCTGCTCCTTAAATTTCCCCCCTTCCCCTATACCAAGGGCGGAGCCACCATTCACACAACTCACAAGCCATAAACTTGGGAGACATTTTTCACTCCTCCCTCCAGCCCCACATTCCAACCATCTGCTTTCTCTTTTAAATTTCATTTTATTTTTAGAGACACTGTCTTGCTCTGTCACCCAGGCTGGTGTGCAGTGGCATGATCATGGCTCATTGCAGCCTTGAACTCTTGGCCTCAAGCTATCCTCCTGCCTCAGCCTCCTGAGTTGCTAAGAATACAGGCTCAAGATATTGCACCCAGCCCACCTTCCTTCTAAATCAGTGGCATTGTCCTTGCCACGGCCACTGACCTAGGCTCACGTCACTGAGACACTCTCCAGCCCATCTTCCACATCCAGTCTTGTGCCCTCCAAGCCATTGTATGGACATAGCTAGAGAGGTCAAAAGTAAGCCCGAACAGCCCAAATGTCCATCAGTTGGAGGAATGGGTGGACAATTCGTAGTGCTCACCCACACAACGGAATATTATTCATCCAGAAAGAGTAATGAAGTCCTGATACATGTTACAATGCTGATGAACTTCAAAAACACACACCATCACAGCCACCACACACACACAATCACAACCACCACACACACAATCACCACACACACCATCACAGCCACCACGCACACACACAATCACAACCACCACACACACCATCACAGCCATCACACACACAATCACAACCACCACACGCACAATTACCACACACACCATCACAGCCACCACGCACACACACAATCACAAGCACCACACACACCACCACAGCCACCACACATGCACATCATCACAACCACCACACACCATCACAACCACCACATACACAATCACCACACACACCATCACAGCCACCACTGCCACCACACATACACCATCACAACCACCACACACACAATCATGACCATGACACACACCATCACAACCACCACACACAATCACACACATACCATCACACACACACAATCACACACATACCATCACACACACAATCACCACGCATACCATCACAGCCACGACACACACAATCACAACCACCACACACAATCACACACACCATCACAGCCACCACACACAATCACAACCACCACACAATCACACACACCATCACAACCACCACAGCCACGATACACACACCATCACAACCACCACACACGCAATCACCATCATCACAACCACCACACACAGTCACCACACGCATCATCACAACCATCACACAAACACACAATCACGACACACCACCACACATCATCATCATTCTCCACAGAGCACAGCAGCAGGGCGGGTGCAGGCAGAGCAGTGGCTGGGGGCGTCACTGCAAGAGTGAAGGGGCCAGGCCGCGCAGAGCCTGTGAGCCAGGCTGGAGCGCTTCACCCTGCAGGCAATGGGGGGCCGTGGCTGGCCTGAGCAGAAAGGTCCCTCTGCTGGGGTGTGGGAATGGAGTAGAGAGGCGGGAGTGGCCATGGCCAACTGTTCAGAAAAAGCCCCTGAGGGAGGCAGATGGCACCCTCGCAGTCCCTGCAACGCGGGGTAGGTGGAAAGGGTGTGCTCAGGTGCCAGAGCAAGAATTCTTGGACCTAGAACCTGGAACCACGTGCAAGCTGACATCCTCCCTCACCCTTAGTGCACCACACTCCGTGGCTTGGTCGTGGTCTGGACGAAATTGGGGCATGGCTGGAGGCGGGAGCTGGGTGGTCTGGTGGTGGCAGTGGGGCGAGAGAGAAAGGAGTGGACTGGAGAGATGGTGGTACGTGGGCGGACAGAGCTGGATGAGAGACCTGGGAGAGGGAGAAATCCGAGGCCAGCGCAGAAGTCTGGGTGTGGAGAGGCCGCTCATCCAAACGACAGGAGAGGCTCAGGGAGCGCCAATGATTCCGTGTGAGGCACAGGGCGTGGCTGCGGGTGGGTGGGAGGGCGACTGCAGCATGGGAAATTTCGGTGGAGAACCAGATCAGGAGTCACCAAATACCATGGAGATGGTAACAAAGCCTACAGGGAGGCAGGGATTGTGCGGGGAGTCTGCAGCAGCAAAACCCCTGCTGGGATGAGGGGCCGGGCCCTCTCTGACCCCAGACCAGGCAAGGCTCCCGTCGTCCCCACTTTGCCACACTTGCTCGTCTAGGGGGACTGACCAGCCCCTGTTCGCCCAGGACTTTTCTCCTTTAAAACTGAGAGTCCCACGTCCCGGGAATCCCCGAGTCCCAGGCAAACTGGGGTAAACCGGAACAATGGATTACGCCTCGCTTATCTCAGCCTTAAGGTTTGTTTGCTGTCTGTCTCCCCTAGTCAACGGTCACAGGAGGGACTAGGGGCTGCTTTGGGATGGAGGAGGAAAGCCGCAGGAAGCACCTTGGATCTTTTCCCGGCCTGGAAACCGGCGCCACTCGGCTGTGGCGTCTGTGGGTGTGTGGGTGGTTTGGCCTCCCAGGTCTCCCAGGCTCTCTTCCTCATCACTCTTTCTCTCCAGGGTGGCCGGCAGCTCCCGGTGGTGCCACGGAGCCCTCCTTGTGGTCCCACAAGATGGCGCTGTGTCCAACGCTAGCCCCGGCCTCTGCCAGAGAGGCAGGGGGACCCGGAGCGGAGCCACCTCTGAGCCCTTCCCAGACTCGGGGGTTCAGGGACGCGCAGGCAGCACGCACAGGCCGCCTCTTTCTCCAGGCATAGTCGTACTCACACGCACTCTCCCGCCCACCCAGACCCCAGATCCCCCGACACTCACAGCACGGCAGGAGCATAGGCAGAGCCAGGAGGGACCCGAGGGAGCGTCAGTTCCAGTCCCCTCTAGAGACAGTGCACGCGCGTCCACACACACGGGCATACACGCACATGAACACACACAGGAACACCCCACACACAACCACACACGCGCACCCCCACCTTGGGCTGTCAGGCGCCCCGCTTTGCTGAGGCTCCACCTTCCCCTTGAACTCTCCCTTCCCACTACCCCTGCCGTGCCCCTCACAGCTCTGCAGTGGGCATCAAATGAGGCACTGGGGGAGACAGTCTCGCGTGAGGTGTGGGGGGTAACATTAGATCCACAGGCACATATGCAAACACACCCAGGCACACCCGCCCCCTCACACCTGTGCCCCAGCCACATAGGAGGGAACGCCCGGGAATGCCAGCAGGGGACACACGGACACGCGGCTCACAAACTTGAGCTCGGGCTGCTCGGAGCTGCAGGTCCGGTCTGGACATCTGACACCAGCGGGGTCCCCCCTCCCAGCATCTCTTTCTGCCTTGAAACTAAACTGGGGACAGGGGGCCAAAGCCCAGGCAGGATTTCCCCAAGTTCAGTTCTGGCTGGGAATATGCTCTTGCATCCCACTGGCACCCCTGGCCCTGGTTCCAGCTCCCTCTATCCTGGCTGTGGGACCACAGGCAAGGTCCTCTCCTCTCTAATCCCTCCCCTGCTCCCTGGGGCTGAATTTTCTTCTATCAGACCTTAAAGAGGGCTTGGGGTATCCTGGTGAGAGACTTGGGCAGTGAGAGATGCACTGGGCTGGCGGGTCTGGCACACCTAAGTCAGAAATCCCTCTCCTCTGCAGACCCTCTGGGTGACCTTGGGCACCAGGATGAACCTCGCTGAGGGAATTCTGTCTCTAAGGAGCCTGATGAAGGCCCTGGTATGCCAGCGGCAGACGGGAGCTCTTTGCTTCCTCTAGGACACAGGGAATTATTATTTTGTGGCAGGGGAGTGTGTGCAGGGGGAACCTGGGGAAAAGAAAGGATTTCCACAGCCCTGATAGAGCTGAGATTATCAAATGATGAGATCTGCATCCGCAGAGAAGAAAAGGGTGAGCCAGTCTCAGAGCCCACCTGACTCCTTCCAACCCCACCCAGCCTTTGGCCTGGCACCCAGCCCTGTGAGCTCCTTCACTCTGCCAAGGTGTGGCCAAATCAGAGGAGGAGTGGGTGTCCAGGAGCGTGGGCTGTGGCCTGGGCATTCCTGCTTCCGTGTATATCTGGGTCTGTGTGGAAGCATGTGCAAGAGGGTATCTCTCCACGTGGCCGAGAGTGTACACCAGGGGAGCCTGGTGGTTTGGGTTGAAATCCCAGCGACATTTGTGGGCCTTGTGACTTTGTCCAAGCTCTTTACCTCAATGTGCCTCTATTTCCCCATTTATAAAATGGAGATAGATGATGGCCGAGTGCAGTGGCTCACGCCTGTAATCCCAGCACTTTGGGAGGCCAAGGCGGGTGGATCACTTGAGGTCAGGAGTTTGAGACCAGCCTGGCCAACATGGTGAAACCCTATCTCTAATAAAGTACAAAAATTAGCTGGGCCTGGTGGCGTGCACCTATAATCCCAGCTACTTGGGAGGCTGAGGCAGGAGAATCGCTTGAATCTGGGAGGTGGAGGTTGCAGTGAGCTGAGATTGAGCCACTGCACTCCAGCCTGGGCAACAGAGCAAGATTTCATCTCAATTAAAAAAAAAGATGGAGATGATTATGATAATAATAACTGAATAATAGCACAGATCTCACAGGGATGAAAGCGATGATACTAGTAAAAGCAGTTAGCTGAATGCCTGGTGGCACACGGTTGGTGTTCAAAAAAGTGTTAATAGCTATTTTGTGTATGCAGCTGCACTACATATTCCTTCATTCATTTTCATTCATTCGATGAGTCCCTCTCTGTGCCTGGCTGGTCCTGTGCTGGAGACTGAGGACACAGAAATGAATCAGACGGGGTTCTTGACCTCCAGGAGCATCCAGGATGACAGGGGAGACAGATCTGAACGCTGATGGCAAAGCAGAGCAGATGATGAAAGAGGAGCCAGGAGGCAGGAACGGGGAAGAGGCCCCTGGAAGAGGAGGGGCGCCGTCTCTCAGATCCCCACGCTCGCTGTGCACCAGTTCCGCTGGAGCCTTCATTGTTCCTGAACTGACCACCTGCCTTCCTACTTCCAGGCCTTTGCTTGTGCTCTGTCCTCTGCCCAGAATGCCTTCCCCTGCATTCTGCCTGGTCACTGCTGCACATCTTTAAAAGATTCAGCCTCAACAGTACTTCCTCCCTCCCACTCAGACTAAATGGCTCTTGGCTTTGACCACCACACGGATCAGAGACGACCCACACCTACAGTCTCCGGGAGCTACTTGTTTCCAACCCTAGATCTATCATCAACTTACTGTGTCACCTTCAGCATTTGAATTTACCTCTTAGGCCTCAGTTTCCCCTCTACAAAATGGGCAACACCTCTTTCTCAGGACAGATATGAGGATCAAAGGGCGGAATGTCTGGGGAAAGCACTTTGCAAATTGTAAATTGCTGGGCACCTGGACAGGGGAGTTGTTATTCAAACAGCTTCCTTTCCTCTCTTGGATGGGAGCCAAAAATTGTGTATACCCCACCGGTTCCGGCTGCGTTTACCTGGAGCTCAGGTGTGGGGCTGTTTCTGTTTAGGGTTTGTTTGTGTTTGATTTCAAAGGCAGGGAAACTCCCTCGCGCAGGTGATGTGGGCGGAGCCTAGTCAACACAGTTGCCAGGGGAATCCCGAGGGATGGGGGCCCTGATCACCCCCCACGGTGATCAGGCAGAAACTCACCCCCTGGAAGGAGAAAGGGCAGTGAGATTGCACTGCAGGGACAGGATGTCCTTTGGAGTCAGGTGACCTGGGTGCAAGTCTGGCTTTTCCGGGGAACCTTAGGCCAATCACCTTCTCTCGAGGGCTTCAGCTATAAAGTCAGTCCGTAGGATTTATAATTTGGGAAGCCTCTTTTACCCTGGGAGGCTGGGGGAGTCAAGTGGAGACCAGGAGCTGGTGTGACCATCCAAGGTCTCCCAGGCCTTGACCCTGCTGCGTGGGAAGTCCCTCCCCAGACAGGCCCTGTCCCCACCTGCCTCTCTGGCTTCGTTGCCTCCGCTCTCTCCTTTCCACTCTGTGCTCCAGCCACCTGGTGAACTCAGAGTCCCCTCAAGCTCCCCAAATCTCTAATCTCCTGCCTCCCCCAGCCCCCGGTCTGAAGCACCCTTCCTGCCCTTTCTCCTGTTCGGTGTTACCTCTCAGGACCCTGCCCAGGCATCACCTCTTCCAGGCCGTATTGGGGCTTCTGTTCTGGCCACAATACTCATTTGCTTTGAGTCACTGTTGGTTTATGGGCAGGTCTCCCCAAACCACTTATATTTGCCACTGTCTACCCTACAGCTCCTGGGTTCAGGGCAGGGCACCCAAAGGCATGAATAAATACCCCTGGAGTGCCCTTCGCTTGGTGGGGCCATCTGGGAAGTGCATGTGGTTTCATAGGAAGCCTCCAGGAGGAAGTGAGCTCAGGTCTCCACTCCATCACTTACTCCCTCACAAGACAGCAGGCAGTCTTCCCTAAGCCCCTAAGCTTGCTGAGCCCCAGCTTTCTCACCTGTGAAGTGGGGAAATCGTGAGGGTTAGAGTGGGTGCATGCCCGGGGGGCTCAGTGACCAGAACCCACTGCTACTGTATCTCCATTGCTTCCAGCTAGACCAAGGGAGATGGCGTCCTTGGCTCTTTGCAATGCGCTCTGCGGAGCGGCAGCCAGGGAGGCTCTGAGTAGCTGTGAGGTCTAGGCCCAGTTGGGGCCAGGGTGCTCAGAAAGCCAGAGCTGACTTCCCAAAGGTGCCCAACTCCCATGGCTGGATGGGCTTGGAAGAAGCCAGCAGAGGGCAGTGAGCCCTGCTGATTTTCCAGGAAGGAGGCCAGCCAGGGCCTTGTTGACTTTGAAGGGGAACATCAGGTGGCCCTGGGAGGAACTGAGGCTCAGTGTCCAGGTCAGCAGGGCCTGGCTTGCTCACTGTGTTTCTGGTGCCTGCGTGGGCACAACAGGCAGGCCAGTCAGTCATGAGTTCCTGGAAGACTTGACTGGGGGCAGCTCTGAGCTCTGACAAGGCACCTGCCATGGGGCAGCAGTTTGTTGGGGCTTCTCTAGGGCCTCAGAGCCCAGAACCCATTTTACAGCCTCCAAGGGGGCTGTGTCTTAATGGTCAATACTTAGGGAGCCTGTACTCTGCACTGATCGCTGTATCCAGAAAAGGAGTCAGAGTTCACGTGTAGAAGCGGGGACTCTGAAATCAAACCACCAGTTTGAGGCCTGGCTATGGTTACTATGGGTTACTCTCCATGCCTTGCTTCCACCAGCACTGAGGCCTAAGCAATTAATACATATGAAGTGTCTAGAACAGTTCTTGGCTCTTGGTATTAGCCTTCACCTAATGGGAGCTATGAGCTGTGACCTCAAGCAAGTTACCCAAATTCTCTGTGCCTCAGTTTCCTCATCTGTGAAATGGGGCTCCTAACAGTACCCACCTCACACTGTTATTACAAAGGCTACATGAACTAACTTAGGCAAAGCGCATAGATTCTTAGAACAACATCAGGTGCACAGTGCTCTGTGTGAATACTTGGCATGTATTTTGTTACAGCTGCAAATGTGAGTTGGTTATGACGTGTTTTCTCATGACCTCCCTGACATGCTCTACTGTAATGGTTGAGGTTTGAGCTGTATGGGCCAACATACTGCCTGGGTTTCTGGGTTTCTATCTTGCTTCTATCAATTCTTTTTTTCTTTTTCTTTTCTTTTTTTTTTTTTTTTTTTTTTGAAACAGAGTCTCGTTTTTTGCTTAAGCTGGAGTGCAACGGCACAGTCTCAGCTCACTGCAACCTCCACCTCCCAGGTTCAAGCAATTATCCTGCCTCAGCTTCCCAAGTAGCTGGGACTACAGTTGTACACCACCACACCCAGCTAATTTTTGTATTTTTAGTAGAGATGGGGTTTCACCACATTGACCAGGCTGGTTATGAAACTACCATTTCTTAGAAGGAATAATAATAGTTACTGTTTAGAGAATTAAATGAGCAAATAAATGCAAACAAATCTAGAAAAATGCCTGGCATTGAGTAAATCTCAATAAATGTTCCTACTATTAGTCTTAATTTACAGATGAGGAAACTGAGGCTTAGAGAGGTTTTGGAATATGACTGAGCTTCCAGACACTGAGTGGCAGGGCCAAGATAGGAACAACTCCAACCCCCTCTCCTGAAACCATGTACCTCATTCCTCCCTGGATCCGAACACCCCAGCCTGGGTCCTGGCTCGTGACGGGTGCTGGGGAAGGGTGTCCCAAAGGAGGCATGGGGAATTGCTCGGTCTATAGACCAAAGTTACTCAGGAGGAAGGTGGCAGAGATAGACTGGAATCCAGAGCTCAGCTCACTGTGTCAAACTGACATTTTCCAACAGTGTGTCTGGTTCTAATAGATCAAGAGCCTTTCTACATGGTAGGCTCTGTCCCAGGAGAAGACATCAATGACAGAAAAGGATATTCGCTTGCCCCTCTTGGTCCAGTGGGTGCCCTTGTTCTGAAGCCAAGGACACAGGGGGCCGCTTCCACAGTGGTTCCAAGAGAAGCAGCCAGTGCCATCTTGGTGCCTTAAATAACTTCCCAGCCTGTCTTTCTAACATTGCCCCAATACACCTCCCAGCACCCCCTACAGCCCTCTTCCTGGCTCCCAGCCATGACAGGCTCTTTCATGCCTCTTTGCATTTGCACATGCTGTTCCCTATGCCTGGGATGCCATTCCCCCTCCTCCCTGTGCCTGAGGGATGAGTCTCCTGGCGGTGTGAGTCCTCCCTTATACAAATTGAGTCATTCATCTTAACCCTGTCTTGTTCTCAAAAGTCTTTGACACAAAAGCACTTTGTCTATTTCTCTGCAAGTCTCCATGTGCGCCTCTGGATCTACCCGTTCCTCTTCACCCTGCTCTGTGCCCTGGGGAGGCCAACCCACACTGACTGCATGCACTGCCTTGGAGGCAGGAGGAGAAGGAAGCCAGGTCCTGTGGTTGGCTGTGCCCCTCCGTGGAAGCACACATCTCTTCCCCTCACCCTTCAGACCTGAGGATGATAAGGGCTCCTCACTGTCACTCGCCCCAGGTTCTGCACTCTCCCTTGTGGCTTCTCTATCCCCCGCCTTTTTTTTTTTGAGACAGAGTCTTGCTCTTGTCAACCAGACTGGAGTGCAGTGGCGTGATCTCAGCTCACTGCAACCTCCACCTCCTGGGTTCAAGCAAGTCCCCTGCTTCAACCTCTGGAGCAGCTGAGACTACAGGTGCGCACTACTACATCCAGCTAATTTTTGTATTTTTGGTAGAGACGGGGTTTTGCTGTGTTGGCCAGGCTGGTCTCGAACTCCTGGCCTCAAGTGATCTGCCTGCCTCGGCCTCTCAAAGTGCTGGGATTACAGGTGTGAGCCACCATGCCCGGTGGCTTCTCTGCCCCCTGCTCACACCTTTGTCAGTTATCTCTTTATTAAATGCTCTTCAAATTCCCAATTTCAATGTACTGTCTCCTGTTCCCACCACCCTGACAAATAGATGGACAGATTCTTTGAGCACTGTGTGCCTTACAGCTGCTTTCATGCATGTCTCTTCCCATTAGACAGTGAGCTCCTGGGGGCAGGCCATGCCTGAGCCAGTCTGCATCTCTGTGCAGGAGGACACGGAGAAGGCACCTGAGAAATGCCCTTGACTTAGATTGCACCACAATACAGGCATCCCACACACAGGACTGAATGACTTGAATGAAGTCGAATCCATCCATTCATTCACTCATTCAACCACAGATACTCATTGGGTGGCAGGGGTGAACAAGATGAAGATAGCCTCACGAAGCTGGCTTTGCAGTGAGGGGAATCAAGCATAGACAAGCAGAAGCAGACAGCTAATGGCATTTCAGATAGTGATGCCTGCTAGGAAGGAAATGAAGAAAAGCAAAGGGGTACCAGGGACAGGCTGGGGATGCTATTTTAGGTAAGTGGTCGGGGGGTCACGTGAGTAGAAAGGGACATGAAGGGGCCGAGTCAGGAGACGCTGTGGTGGAAGGACATTCCATGTGGAGGACTGTGGGTGGAAACAGCCTTGGTCTGTTGGAAAACAGCAGGGAAGCTGGGAGGTGGGATAGGGGATGGGGTGGGGACTTGCTTTCTTTTTAGGCCTCTCCCAACTCTGGGATATGAGGACTCCTCAGGGAAGCCCTTACCCAGGCCAGAGCCCACCAGCCAACCATTTCCTGATCCATCCAGGGGAAGCCCTGCGCTGGGTGCTCTCTCTATGTTCTCTCACTTAATCCTCATGATAATCTGGTGAGGAGGGTGTTTCTACCCCCATCCTACACATGAGGAAACCAAGACTTAGAGGTTAAGCAACCTACCCAAGGTCACACAGAGTCAGGGAAAGAACTGGAAATGATCCCAAGTCTGCCTGACCTGCAGCCTGGAGAGTGTTTTCCCAAGACCAATGCATCCATTTGCCAGGGACCCTTTCCTCAGTGACATCAGCCTTGCTGGGACAAGCCGGCAGCAGGATCCAAAGCTCCCATTCAAGGGTTGGCATGTCCCGTGGTCACACAGCCTATGGGGAGGGAGCTGGGGTTCAAGCCTGGCTCTTTCCACAGCCCCTCACTCTGAAAAGAGAAAATTGGTAGGTGAGCAAGCAAGCTGTGCCGTGCCCGCCGTGCCCGACACTCTTCCAGGGCCAGGGCATGTTGGCTAATGGGTATCATTTCAGCCCTTTCATTTCTAATAGACACTGTGCTGTCATAAAGACTATCATTTTCCACAGCTCACACAGATAATCAACATGCTGGCTGCCTGGAGGGCTGGGAATGTCAGTATTTGGGCACATCTGTGAAGATAAAACCATCCTCTCATTCTCTACTATTTCAATCCTTTCCCAACCAGACACAGCCCTTGCATTTGAGGGCACTGGCCTGGGATCCCAAGAGGCTCCAGCCTGCTGCACGATGCCCCCAGTTCAGGGAAGAACTAAGTTTCAACATTCCATAGCCATATGACCTTGGGCACAGCACTTACCCTTCCAGAGCCTCACTTTCCCCATCTGTAAAATGGGGGCAATTAGGGCTAACTTGCAAAGTGTCTTAAACGAGATTATTACCATGGACCTGTGAGTCCACTTAAAAGCTCTGACTTAGAAACCCAAGTTCTAGGCCCAGCCTTGCCATTGATTTGCTGTGTGACCTTGGGGGAGCCATGTTAAACATCTGCCACATAGTCGGTGCTTAGGAGGTGGTAGCTAGGACAGTGATGGTGCTGAAGGTATGATGTTTGTCACATTTTGCCAATAAGAAAACTGAGGCCAAGGACAGGCACGATGACTCACGCCTGTAATCCCAGCACTTTGGGAGGCCAAGGCAGGCGAATCACTTGAGGCCAGGAGTTCGAGATCAGGCTGGCCAACATGGCGAAAACTCATCTCTACTAAAAATACAAAAATTAGCCAGATGTACACCTGTAATCCCAGCTACTCGGGAGGCTGAAACAGGAGAATCGCTTGAACCTGGGAGGCAGAGGTTGTAGTAGTGAGTCGGGATTGTGCCACTGTACTCCAGCCTGGCAATAAAGTGAGACTCCGTCAAAACAAGAAAGAAAGAGAAGGAAGGAAGGAAGGAGAAAAAGAAAGAAAAGAAAGAAAGAAGAAAGAAAGAAAGAAAGAAAGAAAGAAAGAAAGAAAGAAAGAAAGAAAAGAAAGAAAGAAAGAAAGGAAGGAAAAGAAAAGAAAAGAAAAGAAAAGAAAAGAAAAGAAAAAAAAAGAAAAAAAAAGAAAACTGAGCCACAGAAGGAAATGGGCTCATGAAGATGAAGGTACCTGGCTGGTGAAGGTAACTGCTTGAAGGTACCTGGCTCAAGACTGACAGTGAGAAGGTGGGTAGGAGAGAAAGAAGAAGGGGGCTCTACTCCCAACACCCTAGGGCAGATTCAAGACTCTCCCGCCGGCACACCTACCCTGACAAAAGTCCCTAATTCACTAGAAGAGCTTAAACCCATTTCTAACTCTTCCAGTTGGACTTGAACCCATTTTAATTCCTAATGTCCAGGCAACTTTTTCCCTTGCTTAATTCATTTCTTACTTTGTTGGCTCTTCGTCATTTTTTTTCCAAGTTACCAAAGCATCTGTCCCTCTCCCTCCGCAGTTCTGCTCTCCCACACCAAACGCCTTGCAGGTAGGAATCTCATCTGGCGTGTGTGCTGCTGTGTGCCTGGAGCCTCTGCCACAGCAACAGACACAAAATCTGGAATCCAGTGGATGCTTGTTGGGTTGTTGAGTGAATTGTAATTGGGCCATAGTTTTTTTAACTTGATGCCAGTGGGCAGCATGGTCAATCTGGAGATTTCTGCTATTGTGAAAGGACTCTCCGGAGTGATCATTACGCAAATACAAAGACGAGCAGGGGGAAAATGGTGTATTATAAATGCATTTTTTTGTTTATTTTTCATTAATAAGATTGCTTCACTTCTTGGTGTCAAGAAGAGCTCTGAGAAGGATGGATCAATTTGTATAATAATCCCAGAGGTCTTCTCATGAGGAAACCCAACCCCAGCTCCCTGTGATATGAACTTAGAAAATGTGGGTAGACTGGAGTAGCTCTGAGTAGACTGGAGTAGCTCTGACTGAAGTCCAAAGGCAGGAGAGGGTACAGAGGGCTCCAAAGAGAACTCCTCTGGAGGGCAAAGATGGGCTGGTGATCTGAGCTTGGCATCAGGGGCAAGGACAGAGACGTGTGGGACTTCAATCAGCTTTTGTCAAGGATCACAGACATTTAAGGAAAAACTCCAACATGAAAGAGAGACACCAGCCTTCAGCTCCAATCTCACGACTGAGCACAGTGTGTGGCCTGCCGCGGTTTATATGGGGCTGTGACCCAGCAGGGCATCGCCACCTCCACGGACAAGCGTCTGCCAAGATGTGCAGGTCCAGCCTTCAACACTGACACCATGTGGCAGGGGCTGAAGTGAGGGCACTGGATGGGACTTCGGCTCCCTTTCTCTATTCCTGGAGTTTGGAGGCAGAGACAGCTTGCTTTAGACAAAGTTCCCAGGGTTCCTGGGTCAATTCAGGATGGTGAAGGCCCCTGGATGGATACTTCATTAGCTTCCTGCTAATGAAGGTCTAAGATGAGCAATTAATTGGAAAAATAAGGCTGGGTGCAGTGGCTCACACCTGTAATCCCAGCACTTTTAGAGGCCGAGGCGGGTGGATCACCTGAGGTCAGGAATTCGAGACCAGCCTGGCCAACATGGTGAAACCACATCTCTACTAAAAATACAAAAATTAGCCAGGTGTGGTGGCAGGTGCCTGTAATCCCAGCTGCTCGGGAGGCTGAGGTAGGAGAATTGCTTGAACCCGGGAGGCAGAGATTGCAGTGAGCCAACATTGTGCCATTGCACTCCAGCCTGGGCAATAGAGCAGGACTCTGTCTCGAAGGAAAAGAAAAGAAAAGAAAGAGAGACAAAGGAAGGAAGGAAGAAAGGAAGAAAAGAAGGAGGGAGGGAGGGAGGGAGGAAAATTAGTGGTGCCTTTGTTTGTACCCTGAGTTGGTAAAGCACCCATATAAGCTATAGAATGAGTCAGTTTTATCTACACTCTGCCACCAGTGACCACAACTATCCAAACTGACAAGTAACACACGTGGGAGAGTTCTTTTCTACAGCAGAATATCTTTAAAATTAATAACAGCAATTGCATATACATACACAGCATGCTACAGATTACAAAGCTCTTATCCATCTCTGCCCGCCTCTGAGCCTCATGCCAGCCCTGTGAGATAGCAGGGCAGAATGACTGTCCCTAGGAAATGGAGGCTCAGAGAGGGATATGACCTGCCAATGGTCACCAAGTCAGCAAGTCCCCGTCCCACCCCTGTTATGGGTCCCTAAGCTGCCTCCCAGGCATGTCAGATGCCAGGTCCCTATGCTGTCTATTCAAAGCAGCATCAAGACCACGATGGCAATAACCATGAGGATTCCAGCCAGGATGCAAAGGCCCAGGAAGACGATGTCACTGGTATCCTGGGCCACCATGCTCACTGGGCCCTCCAGTGCCTCCGCCTCATCCATGGGTGGTGCTTCCTGAAGGTGCTCCGCAGTGGCAGCATAGGGCCCCAGCCAGTGAGAGCCAGACAGCAGGTGGACAGAAGCCTCCTTGCGCCGTGGCTCACAGCGGACCTCGTACTCATGGATGTCCTCCCGCCCCGCGGCTGAGAAGTCGATGTACAGCACGCTGACAATCACTGAAGTGTTGTTTCTTCTCTGTGGGGTCACAGGGTACTCATCACACCTGAAGGAGCTTGGGCTGAACTTGTTTCCCTATATATGTGGGGTTCTCAGTACCAGGGGGGCAGAGCCCGAGGAGCCTGTGTTCTAGTCCTAACTCTGAGCCTCAGTGATCCCATCTGTAAAAGGAGTACCGTGAAGGTAAGCTGTCTGGAAGGACGATATCAGATTTGGTGCCAGTGTTTCTCTGGCTAATGTTCTGGGGCCATTTACCATGGTCCAGGCTCTATATTTTAAGTATCTTATTTAATTCTCACAACAATGTTCTCTTATTGGTACCACTAAAACCCCCATGTGGCCGGGTGCGGTGGCTCACGCCTGTAATCCCAGCACTGTGGGAGGCCAAGGCGGGCGGATCATGAGGTCAGGAGATCGAGACCATCCTGACTAACACCATGAAACCCCATCTCTACTAAAAATACAAAAAATTAGCCGGGCGTGATGGTGTGCGCCTGTAGTCCCAGCTACTCGGGAGGCTGAGGCACGAGAATGGCATGAACCCGGGAGGTGGAGCTTGCAGTGAGCTGAGATCGAGCCACTGCACTCCAGCCTGTGGGACAGAGTGAGACTCCATCTCAAAAACAAACAAACAAACAAAAAAAACCCCATGTTACAGAGGAGGAAACTAAGGCCCCGAGGTTAAATCCCTTGCCTGAGGTCACACAGCATACAAGTGACAGAGCCCATATTCTCACTCAGATCTGCCCAACTCTTAACTGTGCTCTTGGCCATCACACCTCACTCAAACAAAAGAATATAGAACCAAAGGGGGCTTTTCAAAGCATCGACTCCAATCCCCCATCCTTGGCAAATTTACAGACATGACTACTGAGGCCTGGAAGGGCGATGACTTGCCCAGAGCTAGAGAAGCCAAGTCTCCTGCCTCCACCTTAGGAGCTTTGTCCCCGGTGCTGTATGGCTTCCCCCTGCAGCCTTTTCTCCCGATGATATCTGCAGTAGGTATCCTGCCGTTGAGCCCCTGGCCACCCCAGGGACAGCAGCCTAGTGTTGGGAAGAGCCATCGAGGAACAAGATGTGGGGGCCTGGCACCCTGCTGCCCTCCCCACCTCAGATGAAGGAGTCGAGTGGCCCTGAGACAATGGGCCTGCAGGCCCAGGCTGGAGGGCAGCATTGTGATGGGCAGTCTGGCGTGGTCAGCAGTGATGCAGAACTACTCTCCCAACCACGCCCAATCTGCAGCAGCCACTGCCTTCTTCAGGGTTTCCTAACTGGCCCCATCTAGCAAGTAGCACTCCTGAGAGGACGCTTCTAAAAATCAAAGCTGCCTAGCAGAGTCACAGTAGCCGTGAATAGTAGGAAGTCCCCAGCACCAGAGACTGGGTGACCCTTTTGGGGAAGGGTTGAACAGGTGTCACAAATCAGGAGGGTTCTCATGTGGTTTTTTTTGTTTGTTTTTTGTTTTGTTTTGTTTTTTGAGACAGAGTCTTGCTCTGTTGCCCAGGCTGGAGTGTAGTGGCATGATCTTGGCTCACTGCAACCTCTGCCTCCCGGGTTCAAGCGATTCTCATGCCTCAGCCTCCTGAGTAGCTGGGATTACAGGAGTTCACCGCCATGCCCAGCTAATTGTTGTATTTTTAGTAGAGACGAGGTTTCATCATGTTGACCAGGCTGGTCACAAATCAGTTTTATGGACTAGGTGACTTTATGTGTCTATTCCAACTTTGGGCTTCCAAAAGGCCATGTCCCCAGAGGAGCTCCTGCTCCCATCTGAGAACTTGTGCCCTGGATTTTTGGGATATAGAATCAGGACACTGGGGAAAGAAAGACTCCTGAGAGTGGAAGGGGACCCAGTGAAAGGCTAAAGTAAATCTACATAATAAGGAAGGGAGGGAAAAATCAGAGAATGGGGGTGGGGGGAAGCTTTAGGGGGTTTTGATGAGTGACAGACTTGACAAAGAAAGAAAAGCCACACAACATGGGTTGCTGATGGCTGTGGAGGGAGTCAAGTCTCTAATGTTTTTAAAGAGTTGCACGTAAAGATTGGCATTACTTTTTATTGCTGTCAGCCGTTTGAGCTGCGTATCTTCCAAAGCAACTCTATGCAAAGACTGATCCTTTGAGGGTCTAGGATTTATTTATAAGGGTTACACTAATAATCCATGAATCAAAGGTTTTCTGATTTTATGTTTCCAAGATACTGACCCCAAGATTTCATGGTTCTGTGGATCTGAGTTCTGGTGGTGGTTCTGTGACTATGAGACAGTGAGTGTCTATGAGTCATTGGTTCTAGGATTTCCTGAGTCCCTGCTTCTCGGATTCTTTGTCTCCGTCATTCCATGACTTTATGGAATGTGGTTCTGTCCCAGACAAAAGCTCTGGGAGACTTAGGGCATGGAATAGGGGGAGGGCAGAATACCTCGGCAGCCAGGACTGGCCCCCTACCCTCCTTCTCTTCTCAGGTCAAAAGGATGGTGGTTGCCAGGAGGCTGGGGCAGGCAGAGGGTGGCCTGGAGGGGCCAGAGGCATACATGTGGCTAATGTTGGGAGGCGGGGGAGGGTTTGCTGGAAAGCACATAATTTCTGCTAAGTCAGACTGCAAAGCCCCTGGATTTCAAGGCCAGAGAGTTTTTCCAACAGAGGCCACTGTTCCTTTTCTCCATACCCCACTTCCTGACCTGTCCCTAAGCATACAAATATCCAGGGTGCTTGAGCCACTGCCCAGTGACTCTGTGAGGGCCCTAAGTCTGGGTTCACGGCCTCCAAAATACAAGGATAGTAGGGAAAATGGACTTGTAAGGCTCACAGCCTTTTGAGGGAGGGAATCCTGTGCCTTGAAAGGGCCTTTTGTGCTGTGGAGCCCAGGAATGGATTTGGATCACCAGGTTGGGGATGGGTGGGAGAAGCAGGGCTCCCACACAGCTCTGCATACTAAAGGGGTGAGGTCTTCAGGGTCCTTGGGGAGCACTGAAGGGAAAGGGGAGGAACAGCAAAGAATAACTGCTGGCAGCTCAGCCAGCAGGGACCCTGTAGCAGGAGTGACCGGTAGCGTCTTTAGGTTGCTGTGGGGTTAAGCAGCAGCAGCTGGGGTTAGGAAAGAGAGCTGGGAAGAGAAAAGGAAGAGAGCTGGGAACCAGAGGGACACCCTCTCCTCTGTCTCTCCTATTGGAGTTCTTTGCTACATTTACCCTAAGCAAATTGGTTGAGGTAAGTAAAGCCAAGAAGGGGTTAGCTCTGCATCCAGGCCTGTGTGGCCCCCAGAGCCAGGAGAAGCTGAATTTTCAGGAATGTGAGATGCCTTTCAGCAGGGTCAGAGTCCCTCCCTTGTGACTGCCCCTTCCCCCAGCCCCTACCTGAGACTCAGTGCCGCAGGTATCAAAGCGGGCCTGGATCCTGAGGTTGCCGCCGACCTCCTGGGCGGCACAGCTCCGGCTGCCCAGGTAGACCTTGGTCCGCTCCAGCGGGGCCAGCGCCTGCGTGGAGATCAGGATCTGGAAGTCCGTGCGGGAGCAGCTCACGTTCATGGGCACCACTGGGAATCGGAGGGAGGAGCTGGAAGCCTTAGGGTCAGGCGGTCTGACCCTCACCTCCCCAACACCCCCTACCCTCCCACAAAGGGTGGTGGATGGGGAAACTGAGGCCCAGAGTAGGAAAAGCTCTTACGGAATCCTACAGGGCACAGTGTGGGATATCTTATACGGGTTACTCTGTTCACCTCCATCAGACTGTGAGCTCCTCAGGGAAGGCACCAAGTTTGATCCTCTCAGCGTCCTCTGGGCCCAGCACAGAGCTTGGCAGGCCCAGTGAATGCTGAGTGAATGAATGAATGTTCTTAATAATTATAAAAATTCATCTGCTAATCACTTGGCCATGTGCCAGGCAATTCATTCAATTATTTAACAAATATATTGATGGCCTGCTATGTTCAGGTCCTATTCTCAGCACCACAAATACAAAAATGAGGAAAAAACACAGCTGAAATTCTTGCCTTGTGGAGCTTACATTCTAGATGGGGGAGGGGGCAATAAATGTAAAATACACCCACGTGTCAGCGTGCCCCAAAGGAAAATCTAGCAAAGAAGAAACAGCGGGAGAGTAGAGCGAATCGGAACTGGGGAGGAATGAGGAAGGAGAGCTTCAGTTTTAAAAAGGGTGGTAAGGGAAGCCTCACTTTCCCTCCCTACAATGACCCCAGGAGGTGGATGTGACTAAACTCATTTTACAGGTTTGGAAATGGATGCTCTGAGAGATGAAGTTGTTTGCAGTGGCCAACCGGGTCGACAGGATTTCAGAGTTCGTGGTCTGTTTGCCCTATTCAGCAGGCTCCTGCAGCCCTCCTGGCCAGGACAGTGTGCACATGACTCAAAATGTCTGCTTTGGGTGAGCATGTGTGTGTGTGTGTGTGTGCGTGTGTGTGTGTGTGTGTGTGCATGCGGGGGCAGGGGTGAGGATAGGGGAAATGAAGGCAACTGCCTGGTGGGAGGAAAAGGAAAGAGAGCTGGCAGGCAGAGGCCTGGAACTCTCAACCCCTCTCCGGGAAATGCCTCAGACATATTTCAGCCTCTGGTGTCTGGGCAGTCGGGGATTTATGGGCCAGCCATCTCCCACGATGATCTCGGTGGTGCTGAACTGTGTGTCACCCCCAGCTGGCACTGTGGCTGCCCTCCCAGTGGGGAGGCCTCCTGCAGCCTGGGCCACATCTGGAGCCTCGCCCAGTGTGAGTGCCCTTGTCTGCCCCTGGGCCCCCACAAGGATCTGAGGGGGAGGGAGGTGAGGTGGAGTGGGGGGTGGGCACTCCTGCCCCGAAGCCCCTGGAACAGGAGCTGGGATAAGAACCCCCGCTAACTTCCTCTCCTTCTCTGCAGAAGGGGCTTGTCCTAAATCACACAGGGCTGGGAGAGGGCCTGGGAGAGTTCTGGAAATAAGACTATCAGAGGCAAAAGGAACTTTAAAGATCTTTCTGTCAATATCCTCATCTTACAGGTGGAGAAACTGAGGCCCACAGAGACATGGGGCCATGCCAGCTAGTGGAGGCATAGCCAATGGAGCTGGGCTCTCCAGGGCTGTGCTAACAGAGCCACAGCTCTCCCACCCCAGCTTGCATGTGGAGCCCACTAAGGCCCGAAGGGGCTGGCCTGCCCAAGTTCACGGCTCTGCCGCAAGCTTGCTGCAGATCACCATCTCCTCCATTCCTGGCCCCAACTCCCCTTGCATATGGAGCAAGGAAAGATCTTTTGAATGCTGAACGGGCCTGAGACACCTTCCTGAAGGAAAGCTGTCCTTGGATCCAGGCATTGTGACCTTGTTACTTCATTTGGCCTTCATGACCACCTGTCTAGGGCCTTCATCAACCTCTTTTACAGATGAGCCCTCTTGGATGATAAGTAAATGGCAGCATTTGGATGTGACCCTGGTCTCTCTGAGCTTAGCTCTGGACTCCCCTCCCTCGTGCCCCTCTCAAACAAGCAAGAAGAAGGCAGGAGAGTAAGTTCTAATCCTGGCTGTGCCACTGACTCCCTATGTGGTCACAATGAAGTCTTTTCCCTCTCAGCACCTCTGTTGCTATACCTGCACAACGAGGAGCTTTGCTTGGCCAGGAAGAGGGCACAATAGGTACAGAGTGCAGGTATTTCTGGGCCCATAGACAAGGAAGGGTGGGAGGAGGGGAGCAATGGTGGACCCTCTTGGTTGACAAATCTAAACAATAATATGGAGCCTGAGAAAGCCAAATACCAGCTCCCCAGCTTCCTCTGCAGCCAGGCATGGCCATCTGACTGAGTTCAAACTGATGGGACATTTTGTAAAAGTCTTATGAGAGGTTCTAGAGATGCTTTTGCTTTCTTGATAAAGAGCCATTTGCAGCTGGCACTTCCCCTGTCCCCTCCAGTCTTGAACATGGATGCGATGCCTGGAGCTATGGCAGCCATCTTGCAGCTGTGAGGCTCAGAGAGTCCCAGAGATAACATTTGGAACAGTGTTGAGCCCCTGGACCAATACAGCAGCTGCCTAGCTCCAGGCTTCCTGTTGAGTGAGGAAAAACAAGCACCATGTTTTCAATGAGTAGTTCTGAATGATACAAGCAGGGCTGGTAGACATCCCCACAGTTATACCAATTTTTTTGCCATAAACAATATTACCATATTTTGTCTATTTCCCCTGGATACAGGGGACCAATAACAACACAAGAGGGGCCAGGGGCCCAGGGGGAAGGAACCAGATGGGGAGGGGTGAGGACTCACGAAGTTAGAAGCTGGGGAAGGAGGCTCTGCAATAGTGGAAACAAGCGGGAGCCGTACCGTCCAGTCTTAGGGGTCCCGAGAGTGGGCAAGGGTGTAGCCAATGGAGAAGGAGCTGGAGAAGACCATTCATGGGGGGGGCAGGACAAACTGGTGGGATGGAGGAAGGAGACTGCAAAGACTGAGGCTGCAAAGCCTCCCCTTCGCCCTCAGTGGACCCACTCCCACAGCCCAGCTGACCTCCGATGTAGGCCACAGAGAAGCCCCTGCGGGTGGTGCTGCGGTCTGTGTGCAGCAGAAGCAGAAGCTGGTTGTGGCTTGAGGTCACGGGTGGTGGCAGGTGGTGTCCACACCAATTCCCCAGCAGGGGTGCCTCCTCGCTGGCCCCATCGAAGGCCGCCAGATGGTCAAAGTCACAGGTCTTGGTCAGGCTGTTGGGCTCCTCCAGGTCCAGGTCCAGGAAGAACACCTTGACCTGGTAGCCCGGGGGCAGGCGGATGGTCCAGTGGCAGCGGATGTTGTTGGGGTAGGAGCTGGGGTACTGTGGGCTGGAGAAGTTGCCCCGCATGGCCATGTATACCTCCTGGCATTCTCCTGGATGGGGGATGGGGAGGTGGAAGGAGCAACAGTGAGGGGAGAGGAGAAGTCACTCTCTGCAGTTACAGCTTAGGCAGCAGGTGCCACAGTGGTCCAAAAACCACCAGCAGGTTGTGGGCACCATGGCTAGCACACCAGACAATTGATCCCAACTATCTGAAAGTTGGGATGCTTGATCCCAAAGCTTGTTTTAAACTGCAACTAGCTGAAAGCTGGGACTTGCATTCCAGTTGACAGTCCCCTTCACAGGTGTAGGCCCTGTTAGGAATTCAATAATAATACACAATACCTGTCCTCAGAGTTACCTCTGAACTCCCTGGCTTGACAGATGATGTGGTTCATGCCTGGCCTTTCCCCTTTTCTCACTGCCCCATTTGGTATGTACTATGAGCATACCAAACACTCTCTGCCCTCCAGGCCTTTGCACATGCTGTTCCTCCTGCTTGGAATGCCCTTCCCTTCTGCTTCCGTCTAACTCCTTCAGGGTACTGCTCAATTCTCTTCTCCACGAAGTCATCCATGATTCTTACTGATGGATAGCACAGATCATAATGGCTTGCGCTGTCTGTTTCCTTATAATCTCTCTAACTAGACTGTAAAGTTCCCACGACTTCATCCATTCATTTGTACGAAAATTGAGTACCTACTATGTGCCAGGTACAAAGATAAGCCCATAAGGGACTCAGTCAGACAGGGGAGATTGACATGCAAACCACACACAGAAGTGACAAATGTTAGATCATAGTGTAAAAAACTTATATAAGGAGTTGAAAAAAGGATTAATTCTGGTAAAACAGTAAGTCTTCGCAGAGGTGACATGCTTATGTCTTGGCATAGGCCAAGGGTATGCTAGAGCATTCCAGGCAGAGAGAGTGCAGAAAGCTCAAGGCTGCGGGGGGCAGAAAGGTGTGACCCCTGCAAGTGTAATGGGGAGACAGGAGCCCAGTAGGCACAGGAGGATTCAGGGTGGAGCGCCAGCCCCTCCTACCTGAGAAGTAGTAGGCCTTGAAGCCACGGCCTCCGATGTTGAAGTCGGACTTGAAGACCACCTGCAGTTCGTGGCCCAGAGACACGAGGGTGGGGGGCCTGGTGCTGCCACAGTAGTGGTGCCCACGGGTGGGGCCAGGCCCCCCAAGCACAGCCACGTAGTCATAGGTGCACTCTTCATTGCCCTCCACCTGGAAGTCCACGAACACCAGCTTGACGTGGGCAGGGCCAGCGGCCCGGATCACCCAGTGGCACTCCATGCTGTTCGGGTAGTTGTTGGGATACTCAGGACTGGTGAGGACCCCTGACAGGCCAGTCAGGACGCCGCCACACACATCTGCAAGGGAGCCCACTTGAGCTGACCTTTCTTTCTCCTTGTGGCTCCCAGTTTCCTCCCTTGGGAACAAGACACTCCAACATGCTGCCCCCACAGGTATCTCATTAGGGCCTCATTACCATCCAGCAAGCACCTGCTACCCAAGTAGCAAGTGTAGCACGTGCTCAGGCCCAGCATTTGGCACCTATGCTGCCTGTTCAAATCCTCAGAGTAGCCGCACAAGGACTGTGCTGCAGTTTCTCTGATTTTATAATTAAGAAAAGGGAGGCAAAGACAAGTTCAGTAGCTTACTTGAGTTTGAGTTCACCCAGGCAGACCTTGAGATAAGGATTTGAGTGCAAGGAGTTTACTTGGGAGATCCAGGGGCCCCCAGGTGGGGAGGGAGGGAGAGGACAGAGAAGGGGAGGTGTGTTCAAGTCAGCTGCTGACCTTGGGGGGAACTCTGGGGACGGGGTAAAGCACATACTTCAGAGTTCTGTCAATCTAGGAGCAAGGGAGCTGCGGCATTTACATGCCAACTCCCCAGAGTGCAGGCAGAGGGCTGCTGTGGGCTGGGAGTGCCCTACTGAGACTTCAGAAAAAAGCCCTCCAGCATAGAACTGTGGAGGTTGGCAGAAGCACATCGACGTGGCAGGGCCCAGGGAATGTGGTCAGGGCCCTGAGAGCAGGTCACCCGACTGGTAACTGGGAAAGTGGGATTTGAACCCAGGAAGACTAACTATGGATCCTGTGCACTTGACCCTTGTGACCTTCACTGTCCACTCCTACGAGGCCAGTGGGGCACAGAGGCTGAGGTGCCTGAGCTCAGGAATGTGATCAAACCTCCCTAATGGATGAGGAAACCAAGACTTAGAGAGAGGACCTGATGAAGTAGAGCTTGGTTTGACATCTGAAGACAAGTAGTCTCCCATCTCTGCCTTTTATTAGCTGTGTGACTCTAGGGAAGTAACCCAGCCTCTCTGAGCCTCATTGGAACATTAGAAATCATAAGACTGAACCAGCTTGATCCACTGGGCTCAGACTTGAGCACAGTCTGAAAATATGCTGCTGGAAACTCTCAGGAAGCCAGCTTGGCCAGTACAACTACACGGCAAGTGTGGGTGAATGCTGCGACTTGCTGGAGGTCACCAGCAGGGAGGACATACGTGGGATGTGTTTCCTGAGACTCCAGCATCTCGCCCTATGGCACGGCTGTGTGACCAGGGCTCTGGATGGGGCATCTAAGGACTTGGCGTCTTTTCCCAGTGCTGGCCCAGCCATGTAACTTTAGGAAGGCCCTCTCAGGGACTCAGATTTTGTGAAATGAGAGGGCAGGTTTAGATAGCCTGTGAGATCCCTTCCAACACTAACAACCTTCGCGGAGACTTCCCAACTGTGCCCTGGGGCTCCCCAGCAGCCCCCTGGAGCACCTGCTGGCACCTGGTGCAAATTTCATTCTTATGCTGTATTTCAAGCTCTCTTTTAATGTAATGAAAAGATAGCACCCACAGACTTTAATATCTTTAACAAGATATTAAAATTTAAATATTCTACATTTAAAAATTTAACTCATTAGAGGCCATCAATATTTACTTGTGTTTTTAATGACTGGCTTATAAGAAGTTAAAATATGAATTTACAGGCTGGGCATGGTGGCTCACGCCTGTAATCCCAGCACTTTGGGAGGCCGAGGCGGGTGGATCACTTGAGGTCAGGAGTTTGAGACCAGCCTGGCCAACATGGCAAAATCCTGTCTCTACCAAAAATACAAAAATTAGCCAAGCATGGTGGGTGGCGCGCGCCTGTAATCCCAGCTACTTGGGAGGCTGAGGCAGGAGAATGGCTTGAACCCGAGAGGTAGAGGTTGCAGTGAGCCAAGATTGTGCCACTGCACTCCAGCCTGGATGACAGAGCAAAACTCCATCTCAAAACAAACAAACAAACAAAAAAGAACTTACAGAATAAATGCATACCACTAAAACATTGCCTTTATTTTTTATTGCCTTTATCTTTTTTTTTTTTTTTAAATATAGGGGATTAACATAAGGTTCCATTTGACATAAAGGTATTCCTGTTTTTAAAAATGTTAGGAAATGTGGCTGATGGTATTAAGACTTTGATATCCTAACATTCTACAAATCTAAGGGTCTAAAATTCCAAAACTATGATTAGATCAGCCTATGGTTCTTGTGTTGTGGCATTCTACAATTCTATCCTTCCAAATGCAGCAGTGACTGGGGTCCCACCTGAGTCCCCCAGGATTGCTGTTGGCGGACCCTGGGAACCAGTAGCCTCTGTGGGTGTCTACTGTTTGAGTTAACATCAGTGAGGTCTTTGGTTCTGGCATTGGGAGGAAGCAGGAGATTTGAGCCTTTGCACAGAACCTGGAGACAAGGATGAGTGAGTGAAAGAGAAAGGCAAGAAGAACAAGGCCTCCTCTCCCTCACTAGACTGAGAGGCAGGTGTCAAGCCTGGTTGAAGGAGAGAGGGGTTAGGGACACATGATATAACAGCCACTAGCTCCACCCAGACCCTCGTGTGGGAACTCAGGCAAGGATTCCCAAGCCGTGAAGTGGTGGGATGCTGCAGAAGGCCCCAACAGCAGTGGTGTCCTCTCCTGTGGCCTTATGCCATGACACAGGACAAGAATGACAAGGGTAGTAGAGCATGAGAGCCTCATTCCTGAGCGCAGTGCGACCCTCTGACGACTCTAGGAGAAACGGAGGCGGCATGGGGAGCATTGCCATGAAGGTGGGAACCCCAGCTACAAGCATGGTCATGAACAGTGAGGAGGCTGCTTTTGCCTTATAAACTATGCATGAGAGCTGGGTCCTGCAGGTTACAGAGCAGCCTACGTGCCAAGATGCTGAGACCCTGTAGGTCTCACCTGAGCCCTGCTGCTATCTTCCCATCTCCACCCCAGGGCCAGCTCCTCCACTGCCAAATCCCCCCTTGAACTCCTGGGATCAAGTAATCCTCCCACTTTGGCTTGCCAAAGCACCAGGATTACAGGTGTGAGCCACTGCAACAGGTCCCTAAGGCCCCCCGTTGACCTTTCTGGTAGCCCGCAGAAAAGCCATGGCTGGCCACATGCTTGTCCGAGTGGAAGATGACAGACATGACATGCCAGGAGGAGGTGAAGGGCGGCGGGGGCACCTTGCCGCAGAACCTCCCCAGCAGGTTGCCCTTGTCTGGTGAGGCCCCATTGTAGATCTCCAGAAAGTCGAAGCTGCAGGTGTCGTGGTACTCTAGGTCAAAGGCATGGAAGGTGAGCAGCACCGAGGATCCCTCGGCCACCACGATCAGCCAGCTGCACTCTGTGTTGTAGGGGTACAGTCTAGGGAAGTTGGGGCTGGAGAAGTTTCCAGAAGGTGCTGAGAGCACACCCCCACATTTGACACCTGGGGCAAGAGAGAAGTATGGCTGAGACTCCGTGCTGGGGTCTTGGGTACATGTGGTAAGGGCAGTGGGCCCAGCTACAAAGCTGGGTTCTTGGGATGGGATGAGGGAACACATGGCCATGTGTTTATTTGCTCATGCATCTACTTATTCTTCAGATGCTGACCAAGCATGCTGGTATTCATTCCACAAATACTGTTTGAGTGCTAGACATTGTTCTAGGTGCTGGGGTCACAGCAGAAACAAAACAGACAAAACCCCTACCCTCATGGAACCTACATTCTGGCAGGGAAGACAGACAATAAACATAGCAGGTAAAATATAGAGTTTATGGGGCCAGGTGCAGTGGTTCATGCCTGTAATCCCAGCACTTTGGGAGGCAGAAGTGGGCAGATCACAAGGTCAGGAGTTCGAGACCAGCCTGGCCAATATAGTAAAATCCCATCTCTACTAAAAATACAAAAATTAGCCAGGCGTGGTGGTGCGCGCCTGTAGTCCCAGCTACCTGGGAGGCTGAGGCAGGAGAATCGCTTGCACCCGGGAGGCGGAGGTTGCAGTGAGCCAAGATCATGCCGCTGCACTCCAGCCTGGGCAACAGAGCGAGACTCTGTCTCAAAAAATAAATAAATAAAAAATAAAAGAAATACATATATAGTATATGACACTGTGAGAAGCTATGGAGAAAAAGCAAGCCAGGAAAAGAGACAGGAAGTGTCAGGCAGGGCCCGAGAATTTTAGTTAAAACATTATGCAGTAGGGAATTTAAGTTAATTATTAAAACATTATTTTGAAATTAATAATAATAATAACCTCCCCAAGTGAAAATGTGCACAGTCTACTACGATGTTAAAAGTACATTTTTATATGTGCTGATTTGCTTGTGTTTGACAAAAGAAAACAATGGAAGGAAACTAATAAGAATAATTCTCTGTCAGGGGAAGTAGTAAAAAGAGGGGAGGAAGCAGGCATGATGGCTGGATCTCCTTAAATGTGCCCTGTTTCATAATTTTCACTGTGTAAGCATATAAAATACTTTATATAATTTTAAGAGATCAAAACAAAGTTAAGTAACCCCTAAATATCCCAAACTGAAACAAATAAACTGAATCTTACCAACTTGGAGACACAGTCACATGAGGAAAAATGATTTCAAATGACTTTGAAAGACAGTATTTTGACCACACAGTCCTAGTGGGATATATCTCAAGGACAAAATGAACCACAACAACATCTTAAAGTATATTCAGTAAACTTACTATTAGTAATAATATTCAATATCATTTTGCAATTATTATATATTAGAATAGAGCAAATAAGTAAGTTAATGTCAATAGAAACCAATATTTTCAGTGTAAGAGTGGTAAGTATAATTTTTTTTTTTTTTTTTACGTGGAGTCTGGCTCTGTAGCCCAGGCTGGAGTGCAGTGGCACTATCTCAGCTCACTGCAACCTCTGCCTTCCAGGTTCAAGCGATTCTCATGCCTCAGCCTCCCAAGTAGCTGGAATTACAGGTGCCCGCCACCACACCCAGCTAATTTTTGTATTTTTAGTAGAGACAGGGTTTCACCATTTTGGGCAGGCTGGTCTCGAACTCCTGACCTCAAGTTATCCGCCTGCCTTGGCCTCCCGAAGTGCTGGGATTATAGGCATGAGCCACCGCGCCCAGCCTGAGAGATATAAATTTAAAATAGTAAGTAAAACTCTTGTGATCCTTAATTTGAATTGAAAGTATCAGTGTGAACTTGATTATTTTTATGTTTTAAAAATTTATTTCCTAGTTCTGTTTACCAAGAAGGCCTAGAATCCAGTAGCATTTTACACCTCTAGGCTTTCGATTAGGATTCTTATGTTCAACTAAGATGAACAAGGCTCTTTAGAGCAATGTCTGGTACCAGGTTTAATACAGGAAATACACAAAATATACTTGGTTATCTTGCCATGCCAAACAGCAAAGAAGCTATCAAAGACTGCTGAGATTGTGTGGAAAGACACAGAAACCTGGCCAGGCGCAGTGGCTCATGCCTGTAATCCCAGTGGGCGGATCGTTTGAGCTCACCAGTTCGAGACCAGCCTGGGCAACATGGCGAAACCCTGTCTCTACTAAAAATACAAAAATTAGCTGGGTGTGGTGGTGCACGCCTGTAATCCCAGCTTCTCAGGAGGCTGAGACATGAGAATCCCTTGAACTTAGCAGGTAGAGTTTGCAGTGAGCTGAGATTGTGCCACCGCACTCCAGCCTGGGTGACAGAGCAAGACTCCATCTCAAAAAAAAAAAAAAAAAAAAAAAAAAAAAGACACAGAAACCTACTTGAAATGGCTTCCACTGGCTAAAGAAGGTACAATTCGAGCATCAAAAGAGAGTAATGCTTGCAGTGGATTGAAACATATCACATATATAAAAACAAGAATTCACAATGCAACTCAAAAGAAATTGAAATGAAACTCATTGGTTTATTTTAGAGGTTGCTAGGCACTAACTCATTTATCAATTTTTTTTAGGAAATTGATAATAGAAATTTAACATCTACTTGGCCTTTCCTATATGGACTGTATTTCTGGACAACTAAATAGATGGTGAGGGAAAACTTATTGTCGGCCCAGGCTGGAGTGCAATGGTGCAATCTTAGCTCACTGCAACCTCCATCTCCTGGGTTCCAGCAATTCTCCTGCCTCAGCCTCCTGAGTAGCTAGATTACAGGTGACTGCCACTATGCCCAGCTAATTTTTGTATTTTTAGTACAGACAGGGTTTCACTATACTGGCCAGGCTGGTCTCGAACTCCTGACCTCAGTTGATCTACCCTCCTGGGCATCTCAAATTGCTGGGATTACAGGCGTGAGCCACCGTGCCCGGCCGGGAAAACTTATTTATAGAAGACTTCAGAAAGAATAACAACACTAGGAAAACATAATTTTGGCTGGCCGTGATGGCTCAGACCTATAATCCCAGCAATTTGGGAGGGCAAGGCAGGAGGATCACTTGAGTCCAGGAGTTTGAGACCAGCCTGGGCAACATAGTAAGACCCCCATCTCTACAAAAAAAATTTAAAAATTAGCCGGGCATGGTGGTGCATGTTGGTGGTCCCAGCTGCTTGGGAGGCTGAGGCAGGAGGATTACTTGAGCCTGGGAGGTCAAGGCTACAGTGACCCATGGTGGAACCACTGCACTCCAGCCTGGGCAACAGAGAAAGACCCTGTCTCAAAATTTAAAAAAAAAAATTTAAACAAGGAAATCATACTTTCCAAGCCTTAATGAAATAATGGATCCAGACAACATTATCAAACCCTGTTCTAATCACTGAGTAAAAAGTTGATGAAAGGTAAAACATGATTTGGTTATACAGGCATTCCCTGTAAAATTCTTTCAACTTTGCTAAATGTTTGAATTTTTTTTTACTGGTCAAATAAGCCAGGCAAATAAAAATTTTTATAATTAAAAATATATAGCCAGGTGTCCTCAGCACTTTGGGAGGCTGAGGCAGGAGGATCACTTGAACCCAGTATTTCAAGACCAGCCTAGGCATAGCAAGACCCCAACCTCTAAAAAAAAAGAAAAAAAGAAAAAAAAAATTCACTTCAGCTGACTATTTGACAGTGAAAAAAAAAAAACTGAAAAAGTTAATTTGGAGAACTTTGTAACAAATAGACCAGGCTAACAAACCCTGAACCCACTGATGTAGACAAGTGTCAAGTGAAACACGGGCCAGTAAATCTCTTCTTGAAAAAAAAAAATGAAGAAATATGAATCTCAGGAAGTCTCTGGATCTGTCTACAGTTAGAGTAAATATGGAAGCTAGAGGAACATTTTAAGTAATTCCATGAGGACATATTTGGCAAGTCCAGAATGTGGGAAGTTCTATAAGATAAATGACGCTGGGGCTTCAACAACAAAAGATAAAGGGGGGAAGGAGGCACAACTGTTGTACTAAAAGAGTCAAGGCCGGGTGCCATGGCTCACACCTGTAATCCCAGCACTTTGGGAGGCCGAGGCAGAAGGATCACCTGAGGCCAGGAGTTTGAGACCAGCCTGAGCAACATAGTGAGACCCTGTCTCTGCAAATAATAATAATTTTATTAAAAATATAAAAGTCAAATATCAACCAAATGCAATGTATGGACCTTGTTTGGATTCTGATTTGAACAAATGAATTGTTTAAAAAAAAAATATATATATATATAATATATAATATATTTATTTTATATATATATATATTTGGTCAATAGTTGGGGAAAACTGAACATGAATTGAGTTAGCACATAAATTAAGGAATGAAGCCAGGAGTGATGGAGTGCTCCTGAGGTCCCAGCTTCTCAAGAGGCTGAGGCAGGAGGACCACTTGAGCCCAGGAGTTCGAGGCTGCAGTGAGCTATGACCACAGCACTGTAGTCCAGCCTGGGTGACAGAGAGAGACCTTGTCTCTAAAAAAATTTTTTTAAATTAAGCACTTATTATACCATGATAAAGGTATTGAGGTTATATACAGTTTTATGTGTTTCTCTGTTAGAGACACATTCTGACATATTTATGGGTGAAATAATATGGCATCTGAGATAGGCTTTAGATTTCTCCACACCTCCCAGAATGGGGCTGGGGTGGGATAAAAGAAACAAGAAAGGCAGAAGGTTGATAATTATTGAAGATGATTGATGGGGACGTAGGGATTCATTGTATGATTTTCTGTGCTTTGCGTGTGTTTGAAATTTTTCATAATTAAAAGTCAACAAAATAACCAGCACATCCCTGGTCACCTTCTCAGCGAGGCCTTCCCTAACCACCTGATTTACACCTGAAAACCTCTCCCCAGCCCATGCTCCTTCTCTCCCTTTAGTGCTATATGCTTCTCCATAGAATTCGTCACGATCTAACATGCTATTTATTTTACTTATTGATTTGGTTCAGTATCCTGCTCTCTATGAGAGCAAGGATTTCTGTGCCTCTCCCTACCGTATTGCAAGCACCCAGAGCAGTACCTGGCACAAAGCTGGTGCTTAGTGTATATTTGCTGAATGAATGAGTGAGTGAATAATCTTATATAATCCTCACAACAGCCCCATGAACTAGGCAGGGCAGGTGCTACTGACCCATTTTACAGATCAGAAAACTGAGCCCGGGAAAGGGAAGTCACTTGTTGTAGTGAACATCTATTGCTTTGGGTCTGCCCAATACCACTTCCTTTGCCTCTTGCAACAATAGCTCCCTCTTTTAGACACTGCTCCCCTCCTTGCCTCCATGTGGTAACCCTCCCTCCTCTTCCTTGACCCAGGGGTGGACGCCTGACTCTAGCTGGGGAGTCTTGGGGCTCCCACCACCACCACAGTGACTGGCCCGCAGGGTGAGCATGTGCTCCAGGCTAGGCCAGAGTTCTGCTCAGAATGCCCAGATAGGGGTTCTTTCCTTTCTGGTCCCTTGACTGGGAGGGGGAGCCCTGGGGGTGGAACAAGGTCCATACATTGCATTTGGTCGGTATCTGACTCTTTTAAATTTTTTAGAAAATTATTAACGGCCAGGCGTGGTGGTTCAGGCCTGTAATCCCAGCACTTTGGGAGGCCAAGGTGGGTGGATCACCTGAGGTCAGGAGTTCGAGACCAGCCCAGCCAACATGGTGAAGCCCTGTCTCTACTAAAAATACAAAAATTGGCCAGGCATGTTGGCGGGAGTCTGTAATCCCAGCTACTCAGGAGGCTGAGACAGGAGAATTGCTTGAACCCGGGAGGCAGAGGCTGCACTGAGCCGAGATTGCGCCACTGCACTCCAGCCTGGGTGAGACAGAGTGAGACTCCATTTAAAAAAAAAAAAAATTCTTATTATTTATGCTCAGGACTTAAGGAAAAATCCCCTGTGGGAACTGGAAGAGCCATGTGAGAAGTGGAAGTAGCCCTGGAGCCCAGAGGCTCTGGCTGTGGCATCCCTGAGCCCAGCTCGGCTACCTCCTGCCTCCCTGGTTACAGAGCCAATGTATTCTTCTTTTTGCTTAAACTCATCCAGGTTGAGTTTCTGTCACTTGCAACCAAAAGCATCCTGAAGAATACACTTAACCAAATCCCTATAAGAGAAGACACATTCGCTAAACATGTGCCCTGTACCAGGCTTGTGCTGATTCAAAATGGGCCCCTCTGTGGGAAGCTCACCATGGAGTGGGCCAGGGGGAGTCAGGCAAATGAGACAAAACACACAGCGTGATTGCACTGTGGCCACAAAGGGGCTCTGGGGTCCGGGGAGAGGAAAGCCGATCTTGCTGGGGCCAGCAGTATCAAGGAGGGGCAAGATTTCCAGAGGGGGTGATATTTGAGTTTGTCTAGGAAGAATGAGAAGGTTTCTTCAGTTGGGGAAGATTTTCAGGGAGGGAATGGCATAGACAAAGGCCCAGACGCACGTGCACTTAGCCTCTGTGAGCCGTGACATGGGGATAGTGGTGCCTCCCTTGCTGGGTGACTGTGAGCACTGATGAGCTAAAGGCTGTGTGAGGGCTGCACAGATGCACATTATCAGCTCTCTGCCTAGCTCTTGGGGTGGGACAGGGCAGGAATGGCATCTAATTCATGCCTTTATGGCAAAAGGACAAATAGATATTCTGTCCAATGCCTGTTATTGTCCTTCTCCCAGCCCTACCCACAGGGCAGGGAAAGGCGCCAGAGCATCAGAGTGGAATTCCTACAGCCCAGGTGGCTCCAGTCATCAGCATAAGCAGAGGCCTTGTCCACTAGGACCCAGCCAGGCACACTGATGTCCAGGGTTACCCCAAGGCCCCTTAAGCCCCAGTGGCCAGAAAATAGGAAAAGCTACCTCCTCCCACCACCCAGGCATGGGTTGAGATGCTTGGGTGCCCATCCCATCTCTGCCAGTGACTGGGTGACTGGCAAGGTACAATTCCTCCCTGAGCCCCACTTGAGCCTTGCCGAAGGGTGAAATGATATCACCCCGGCTTCACAGACAGGTAAACAATGCTTGGAAGGCCAGAGCAGCACAAAACCACTGGGGACCACAGTGCAGGCAGAGGGTTCCAGGAGCCCCAGTGAAGGCGCATGTGAGGTTGATGGAGGATGTGGAAGGCCGACGGAGGGAGTGGTATTTGATCTGAGCTTGAAGGGTGAGCCAGATGTTCTCAGGTGGAAAAAGGGAAAAAAGACTTTCCAGACAGAGGGGACAGCAGGGCTTAAGATCCCTGAGGGTGAAGCAGAAGGGGTTGTGATTCCCCTGCCAGAGCATGGGATGCCCAAGGGATGCAGGAAACTGAGGCTCAATACGATATGGAAGTTGGAGCCCACACTCAGAGGGCACTGAATACCATAAGAAGGAACTTTGATTTCACTTGCTTGGCAGTGGGATGGGCAGCAGGGTCTCGGGAGGAGAATAAAGACTCTTCAGCAATAGGCTGGGTGCGGTGGCTCATGCCTGTAATCCCAGCACTTTGGGAGGCCGAGGCAGGTGGATCATCTGAGGTTAGGAGTTCGAGACCAGCATGACCAACATGGTGAAACCCCATCTCTACTAAAAATACAAAAATTAGCTGGTCGTGGTGGCACATGCCTGTAATCCCTGCTACTCGAGAGGCTGAGACAGGAGAATTGTTTGAACCTGGGAGGTGGAGGTTGCAGTGAGCTGAAATAGGGCCACTGCACTCCAGCCTGGGCGACAGGGCAAGACTGTCTCAAAAAAAAAAAAAGACTCTTTAGCAATAAACCTTTAATAGTTTTTGGAGCCATTCCTTTCAACCTTGGTGACCATGTAGCCTTGGACAGGTTACTTAATATCTCTAGTCCTCAGTTTCTTCATCTGGAAAATGGGGGACTAACATCCACCTTGAAGTTTGTTGTGCAGATTAAATGCAACCTACATGTGAAACATGCAACACACGGCAGGCACTCAATATTGTCTCCCCCCATCTCAGGAACAAACACATTCTCAACTCAGCCACGTCCCCTAAAAGGACCTCCTGCTTTCTGGCTTCCCATGTAGAAACTTCTTGAGCCCCTGGCTGTTGCCTGCCCACCTCCTTCCCCTCTCAGTTCATGTCTGTCCCAAGAGTGCCTACCTTCCATGGCTTGGGCCTGGAGCCCTGGGCCCAGCAGTGCCACTGCCAGCAGCAGGCAAGCCCCCCACTCTGCCAGCATCTCCTCACCAGGGGCCCCCACAGGTCTGCCGAGCTCAGGTAGGCCAGGATCTCAGGGTCCGGAGCAAGGGAAAGAGAGGTGAGGCTGAAAGGGCCTCCAAGTTAATGGTGGCATGAATAATTCACCGGCCCCTAGAATTAGTAAGCCGATCCCTGGGTACTTCCTTTACTCACTGTAAAGTGACGGATCTGGTGTCACCAGGTTTACACGTTCTGAGATCTGCACCGACCACACTATCAGGAAGGGAAGGAACTCAGGCCTGGAAGGAAAGTGAGTGGAGGAGAAAGGGCATAACTTTTAGGGCCGGGTAGATCTGGGATCAATCCCAGTTCAGCCTGTAACTTGCCAGGTCACCTTGGACAAGTCATTTAACTCCCCTGGTCTGGGTCTTCTCATCCATCCAGTGGGGCTGTTCAGCTCCGACCCAGGGGCTGTTGTGCAAATGAAAGGAGATCTCACTTGCTAAAGCACAGAGTAGGTGCTCGCTACAGGTTCTTCCCATCCCCACTCCGAGGGAGCTGAAAGGAGCCTGTATTTAGTGGGACACGCAGGACAACTTCCTTCAGACATGCGGATTTAGCTCAGAGGAGGGAAGGAGGTTGCTGCAGACAGTTGAGGGAAAAGTCTTTTTCACGCAAGAATGCAGCAGGAATAACAGAATTGGAAAATCGTATTGTGCAACTCTTAATGCAATAATAGGTCTGGGAGCCAGTGTAACTTCCGGCCGAGAATATGGAATGCCCGCTCCTTTATTGATCCCAAGCCTTGCTTGAACATCGTATGTGCCAGGCCCCGCACAAGGAGCTGGCGCTGCAGAAATGCCCCGGGGACTTTGTGTCCAACAGGAAGCGGGCTCTTTCTTCTCATCTAGAGTCTTTTGATTTGGTTCAGTTCAGCCCAACATGCATTTCTAAGCTCCTTCTCTGTGCAGAGCCTGTGCCAGGCATGGGGACAGCAGGGGAACATGGCGCATTCCTGCTCTCCCAGTGAGGATCCTGGGCTGTTTCTGGCAGACTAAGGTCTGAATCCTGGCTCCACCCCTGCCTGGCTGTGGTAGCCCGGGAAAGTAACCCAACTCTGTAACTCTGAGGCCAGGTTCCTGGATTGCGAAACTGGAGCAAGAATTAGCAGCCTGCAGTTTGCTGAGAGGATTAAACGTGATAGTGTATGAGAAGTCTTAGCCAGTGCCTGGCTCAGTGCATAGACGCACTCAAGATTTCTATTTATCCTAGAGGAACCCAGACAGCCTCTTCTGCCAGACAGCATGTGCCTCTGGCCCATCCTTTTGTCAGAAGTCCCCGGGGAGCCCTTTGCTGCAGGCATAGGAAGACTCGTGGAAGGTGTTCAGCGGAGCCTCAGGACCCGTCAGGCCTGAGGGATTGGCTTACCTGTGGAGGTTGACTGGCAGGAAAGAAGTGTTCAGCTGTTCCAGGCAGTCTGAGAAAGTGGGAGTTTCTTTATTTTATTTTATTTTATTTTATTTTATTTTATTTTATTTTATTTTATTTTATTTTATTTATTTTTGAGACAGAGTCTTGCTCTGTTGCCCAGGCTGGAGTACAATGGCGTGATCTCAGCTCACTGCAACCTCTGCCTCCTGGGTTCAAGCGATTCTCCTGCCTCAGCCTCCCAAGTAGCTGGGATTATAGGCACCTGCCACCACACCCAGCAAATTTTTGTATTTTTAGTAGAGACGAAGTTTCACCATGTTGCCCAGGCTGGTCTTGAACTCCTGACCTTGTGATCTGCTCACCTAGGCCTCCCAAAGTGCTGGGATTACAGACAAGAACCACCGTGCCTGGCCAGATGGGAGTTTCTTAAACACCTATTGTGTGTATGAGAGAGGAAGGCAGGGAAAAGTGCCAACCCAGTACCTGCTGGGTGCAGGGTCTGGTGCTGGGAGCCTCACATGTGGGTGCAGCCTCCCAGCTTTCACAGCATTCGGTATACTCCCAAAGGACAGGGGAGGAAACTGAAGCTCAAAGGGCTGGAGCCACTGTTTTGGGTTGAGTTCCTTCACACGAAGACCCCGGGACAAGTAGTGGATTTGGGAGGTGATCCCAGGAAGCACAGGTAAGGAAGTGGGACAAGGAGAGGAAAGAAGCTAGTTCAAAGAATGTCAGTGAGCAAGTTACCACTGTGGGCAACCAGGGCTAAGTCCCAGTGGGAACCTCCAGGACACAGTGTAGACTGTGCCTCTCACTGTTTCACCGGTGGAGGAAGAAGTAGAATGTTGATCACCAACTCCCCGTGCCCTTGGTTGGAAGCTGCTCTGAGGATCTTATCTCCCAGATATTTCCAACCTGCTGTGCATGGCCCCAAAGCCCTGAGGCAGAGAGTACAGGGGGCTACAGGCAGAAGCTGCCTGCATGATGGGAACAGTGAATGACACAGGATGGGGCAGGGCCATAACAGCACCTACTGAGCCATCCATAATGAAAGACTGTCGGCCGGGTGCGGTAGCTCACGCCTGTAATCCCAGCACTTTGGGAGGCCGAGGCGGGAGGATCACAAGGTCAAGAGATCAAGACCATCCTCGCCAACATGGTGAAACCCTGTCTCTACTAAAAATACAAAAATTAGCTGGGCGTGGTGGTGCGTGCCTCTAGTCCCAGCTACTCAGGACACTGAGGCAGGAGAATGACTTGAACCCGGGAGGCGGAGGTTGCAGTGAGCCGAGATCATGCCACTGCACTCTAGCTTGGCAACAGAGTGAGACTCCATCTCAAAAAAAAGAAAAAGAAAGACTGTCATCATTCCAGTGACCTCACCCTGCACTTGATAGACTCGTGTATTAGTCTGTTCTCACACTGCTATAAAGAACTATCTGAGACTGGGGTTATGAAGAAAAAAGGTTTCATGGACTCACAGTTCCACAGGCTTAACAGGAAGCATGATTGGGAGGCCTCAGGAAACTTACAATCATGGCGGAAGGGGAAGGGGAAGCAAGCATGTCTTACCATGATGGGGCAGGAGAGAGAGAGCAAGCGGGGAGGCACCACACACTTTTAAACCATTCGATCTCATGAGAACTCACTATCATGAGAACAACATGGAGAAATCTGTCCCAATAATCCAATCACCTCCCACCAGGCCCCTCCTTCAACACATGGGGGTTACAGTTCTATAGATTTGGGTGGAAACACAGAGCCAAACCATATCACCTCCAGAATCATCCTACCTCTGAAATATTTGTCCCACTCCCTGAAACAACCACTTCTGTTTTGGGCACCCTCAGCAGACTTTTCAATGACACCCCATCCATGGTAACTGCCATAGTGGCCCCTGGGACCCTCAAAATCAACAGCTCCCACCCAAACTAAACTAGTCACTGTCCCCAACACCAAATGTGCTTCTCCTCTGATGGTTCATATTTTAGATAATGGTGCAACCAACCCATAAAGCCAGCAATGTAGGAGCCTGCCCCAACTTCCTTTCCCCTCACTCCCACACCCATTGGTCACACTTGAGTTTAGTTACCACTTCTGCCTCTGAAATGGCATCTGAAGCCATAACTACCCCAGTTCGCCATCTCTCCTGCATGATTCAGCAGCCTCCTCACTGGCCTGGGTGTCTCTGCTCCTGCCTGCTCCCTGCCCACCCTAAAACCACATTCTACTACTTGCTGCCCTGTCCCATCCTATGATCTTTCTAAAATGCGAATCTGAGCCAGGCACGATGGCTCACACCTGTAATCCCAGCACTTTGGGAGGCTGAGGCGGGCGGATCACTTGAGGTCAGGAGTTCAAGACCAGCCTGGCCAACATGGTGAAACCCTGTCTCTACTAAAAATACAAAAATTAGTTGGGCATGATGGTTGGCACCTGTAATCCCAGCTACTCAGAAGGCTGAGGCAGGAGAATCACTTGAACCTGGGAGTCGGAGGTTGCAGTGAGCTGAGATCACGCCACTGCACTCCAGCCTGAGCAACAGAGTGAGACTCTGTCTCAAAAAATAAAATAAAATAAATAAAATAAAATAAAATGCTAATATGATCATGCCATTCTACCACTTAGGCTAAAATCCAAAGTCTTCTTTTTGGCATTCATACCCCTTCAGGTCACCTCCCTAACACGTCTCAGACTTTCTCCACCTCTCGAGCTCCATACCCTGGCCCCCGACATCTCTCTCACTTCTCTGCATGTGCTGTGCCCTGAGCCTGCATTGCCCTGCTTTCTGCCCCACTGGCCCTTGGTGGACTCTGAACCTTTAAAACAGTTGTCACCTCCTCCAAGGGGTTATCTTGACCCCACCCCAAGCTGGGAGAGTTCCTTTTCGCTGGGTGCACCTCTAGCACAGAGGGGACACCTGCACCCCAGCTGGATGGTTTTTCTGAGGATATCCTCGGCCTTCTGGGCTTTCATTCCAGTGCTCTGCACAGAACTTGGTCCAGAGCGCATCCTCTCCCTTATGTCCGTCTCCACTGCCTCCCTAGCACATCCTAAGTGCTCAGCAGCCATCCATGGATTGCACTACTCAAGGATGCACCGCTAGGAAATGTCTTTGTCAATGTGAACCCATGTTCATATGTGTTCAAAATCTGCTTTTAACCCTGCTGAGTTCATGTGGGCTGCCATAACAAAATGCCGTAGACCGGGTGGCTTATCATCAACAGACATTTACTTCTCCCAGTTCTGGAGGCTGGCAAGTCCAAGATCAAGGTGCCAGCAGATTCTGTCTGGTAGAGGTCGATTTCCTGGCTCACAGATGGCTTCTTGCCATGTCCTCACATGGTGGAAGGGGTGAACAAGCTCCTGTGGGCCTATTTTATAATGGTGCTAATCCCATCACCTCCCCAAAGGCCCTGCCGCCTAATACCAGAGCCATGGGGGTTGGGATTTCATGAGTTTTGGAGCAGCCATTCAGACTACGGCACCTGCTGGATGGAGTGGCAGGGTGGCCTGGTAGAGCAGTTCAGCACGAGCACCCAGAACCCAGACCATGTCAGTACAAATCACAACTCTGGCAGTTACTAGCTGTGTGGCCTTGGACAAGTAAAGTTACTTGGTCCCTCTAGGCCTCTGATTCGTTGTCGGTGAAATGAGGAGAGTGGTGTCTACCTGCAAGGCGTGATAAGGATTGAAGGGGCCAGCACATGGGGAATGTGGAGACCTGTGCCAGCACATAGTATAATAAGTTCAGAATGCACTGACCTCATTGAAGACCTCAGGTCTTCTTGTATTTTTTCTTTTGAACCCATCTCTCCTTGAAGTCACCTCTGGGTGGGGCCTCCTGCTGCCTGGCTGCCCCTCCCTCCAATCAGCAGCCTGGCCGTGACTTCTCTCCTGGTCCCCAGGGGAGGTGGTAGAGAGGGAACAAAGGCTGCCTGCCTGCCAGGGGCATTAGGGAGTGCCTGAGCCACCCACAAGATGAGTCAATATGGATGCCTGGGTGCCTGCCAGTGCCCTGCTGTGCTGACTCCCATGGCTGAGCCCGGAGGACCCAGCCTCAAACTTCCAGGGGCTCTCTTGGCATATGATGACCGCTTCTGTCTATGGCTGGCTCTGCAGCACCCTGGAGCTAGTAGGCCTAGGGCTCTCCAGGAGGTTGAGAGTATGCTCCTGGGATGGATGCTGTCCAAGGGCAGGGGGCTGATGCTGTGTGTGCCCATTTCTGGCACTGTGCACCTATGTGCACCCATCTCTGGGTGTATGCCAGAAAATTCATGTTTCAGAGACCCCCAAGATTCCTTAGACCACACCTTGAGAACCATGACTTGACCTCATATCACTTAGAGGGCCAGGAGGGAAGGAGCAAAAAATGAAGAACCGAAAGAGTCCAAGACAAACCAAAGCAAAAACCATGTGCTGAAGGGAAGTTTTATTTTAGTTTACTCTGATGCCTGTATAAATAGTAAACATTTGCGTAGATGATATTATGTTTAGATGTTTGGTGTCTCCCTCCTCATGACTTAAAAATTAACTAAAAGGTTTTTTTCTAAAAGAGCAAATAACTGGAACTCCCCAAATGACCTTAACAGTAGAATGAAGAAATAAATGTTCATCATCTGGTCTTGCTGTTTTCTTGGGTACATGATCCCATCTTAATATCTATGCATTGGGCACTAAGTATAGTAGTCTTTCTGTGGGTGACTGTCCTCTGCTTGTGAATATGCCTTGTGTGGCCGGGTGTGGTGGCTCACGCCTGTAATCCCAGCACTTTGGGAGGCCAAGGCGGACAGATCACCTGAGGTCAGGAGTTCGAGACCAGCCTGGCCAACATGGCAAAACCCCGTTTCTACTAAAAATACAAAAATTAGCTGGGCATGGTGGTGAGCACCTGTAATCCCAGCTACTCGGGAGGCTGAGGCAGGAAAATCGCTTGAACCCAGTGGGTGGAGGTTGCAGTGACCCAAGATCATCGTGCCATTGCACTCCAGCCTGGGTGACAGAGTGAGACTCCATCTTAAAAAAAAAAAAAAAAAAAGAATATGCCTTGTGCCACTGCACCCATCATTGCATTCACACGTGCTTCCTTGTACACATATCCATCTCTGTGCACACGCCTGGATCACACAGTACTGTCTCAGTATATATACATGTCTCTCTATACATCTAGGGATATACAACTAGATCTGCATGTACCCAGACATATATGTGTTTATTTCTCCCTCTGGATATATACAAAGATTTTGAGTGAATGTCCATGTCTACATGCAAATGTCACAGCTGTGTGTGTGAGTATCACGAGAACTATATGTGTGTCTCTTCATATGGACACGTCTATCTTTATAAGTGCACATCTATTCCATGGGTACACAGCTTCTGCTGGTGTATAGATCTGTGCCCGAGTGTGTGGAGCTTTGAGTATAGATGGTCACAAAGCTCTGGGGTACACATCTGCATACCTCTGTGCATGTCTGTGGAGGTCTCCAAGGGTGCACCTCTATAGCTGGGGCTCTCTCTAAGCACGTTTTGTCTTCATATCTGTATCCTGTCACTGGTTCCCGGGTCCAGGGGTGGTGCCCAGGTGATAGCAAGGTGCTGCCTAACACCTCCTTGTCCACAGAGGTCTGGGCTGACCTGGGGGTGTGGCAGAGGGCAGGAGCAGGAAGGCCACTCCACCCCTGGGGATTCCTGGCTGGGCTCCAGCAGCCACATTTCTCCCTTAACAAGGGCCCTGGGGACTTGGGGGGGAGTTTTCGATGAGTAGGGGCCCTATGCAGAGGCCACAAGGCAGGGCCCTCGGGAAACAGTCCTCACTCTCTGCTCCTGAGGTGCCTGTTACCTCCAGACCTCCTCTGTCAGAGCCTGGTAGCCATGGAGTCAGCACAGTACAAGTGGGTGTGTGTATGAGTGGGGTGGGGGTCCCTACATGATGGAGGAGGGGAAGGAGAAACAGGGCAGGAATACAGGAGAGAGAGGGGTGAAGGATCACACAGAAAGGTGGAAAGCTGACAGCAAGGGAGGTGAGTGGCAACCCTGACCGAGCCAAGGCTGCTGGTGGACTGGGATGCAGCCCATGGGGTCTTGCTGGCTCCTCACACCCCACCCTAGGGATGGGACTGTGCCAAGAGGAGGATGAGGACGCTGTGTCCCCTTCCTTCCCCTCTCTCTGAGTCTCTCAATTTCTCTCACAGTCTCTCTGCTCAGTTCCCGTTCCCAAAGGCTGGAATGTGACAATCACATGCCAGGAATGACATCCTGGAAGTCCAGATGGGCCAAAGACAAGATTTCCCAAGAGCCCTCAGACAAGGGCATGACCTTCATAGCCTCCAGCTCCTGGGCCAGTGGGAAGAAAGTAAGGAGGGGGCCAGAATTGCTGCCATTTTGACCCCCACCCCTAGCTCTGGGCCCTCCCACACCCTATCTCGCTGAGCCTCCCAAACCTGCAGGAGAGTGTACTGTCCCCACATCACAGATGAGGGACCTGAGGCCCAGCAACGTGAAGGGGCTGCTTCCAAAGCTGGGGCAGGGTGAGTGCTGGGAGTCAGGCAAAGAATGGCCCCTCGTGGGATCCGCCTGCCCCTCATAGCTCTGTGAGATATGAGTGTTCCTGGCAGCACTAGCCACTGTTCCTGCCCATGGTTTTGTGGAAGGAGCAAGGGTTTGGATTCTAGTTCCACATCTGACTTGCTGCATAACCTGGGGCAACTCACTCACTTATTCTTGTGGGCCTCAGTTTCCCACGTGTAAAGTACCTTGCTGGGCTGCCGTGAGGACTGATGCAAGATCCAGAAGGCAAAAGGGCTTTGTAAACTGTAAAGCACTGTGCACCAGTAGGTGTCCATGTGTTCACAAGTGGATGAGTGCCACCACAGCAACCTGAGCAATGACTAGAGGGGCCGCGGACGGGGCTGGGGGATTCACTAAGCACTTTGCAGGGGGCATTTAATCCTCATCATGGCCCTCTGAATAGAGACCACAACTGCCCATTGCACAGATGAAGAAACTGGGGTGAAGTAACTGCCCAGGACCTCACATCCTCTAAGTGGCAGAACCAGGATTCAAATCCGGGACTGTCCAGCTGCAATGCTGGTCCTCTGAGCCACCAGATCGGGCCGCCAGGGGAGTCGGATGGAAGAGGGTCCTGAAAGAGGATCGGCAGGGCCAGGAGGCAGCAGGGTGGGGAGATATGCACAGGAAGCCTCCTGTTGGTCCATTCTCTCCTCACACTCCTTTGACCACTAATTAGTCTTGCGTCTTTGGCCAAGTTAGGGCCTTCAGCAAGCCAAGGTACGTGGAGGAAGTTCACGGTTACAGAAGGGAAGCTGCCCTGTGCCCTTCCCTGCTGGAATGGCTGTCCCAGGACCCTGACCTCCAGGGCGTTGGCTGGAATGTTTTGCTGCTGGCTTTTCCCCTGTGGGCCTTCCCATCCTCACCCCTTCTCATCCTTCCCACCACACTTCACCCCTCCCTAACTCCCCTCGGCTACTCATTCACAACCAGCTCTAGGGACTAAGAACAGCTCAGCACAGGAGCCTTCCACAGTGCCCTGCCTTGCCCTGGATACCAAGCCTAACACCTCCCTGCTCCACAATAAAGCAAATATTGAACTCCTACTGTTTGCCAGGCACACTCATATCCAGCCATATCCAAACTAGGTGACCTTGGGCAAGTTTCTTAACCTCCCCTCTGTATCTCAGTTTCCTCATCTGTAAAATGGGAACAATGAGGTAAAATGTAAAGGGTATGGAAGAAGAGCACATGGCCATGTGGGAAGCTCTATTTAAACGTTCATTAATTTAAATTAAGATCTGTATAACACCTTTGCAAGGTAAGAATTACCAGCTCCATTTCACTATTTGGTGACTAGGGCTCAGAGAGAATGGCTTTTATTCATTTTATTTATTCAACCAGCATCTATTGAGTACCTACTATGTGCCAGGCTCAATGCGTGATACTTTTGCACATTATCCCATTTAATACCCATAGCTGTGTGGGGAGGCGTTAGCATCCCCCACTATTTCCAAACACTCCCCCAGGGGCAGTATCACCCTGCTTGACACCCCTGGTTCGCTGTCTGACTTCCCTACCAGCTTAAACACTGGGAGGGCAGAGAACTGCATTTTGTTCACTGCTGTGTTTCAGCACGTGGCACAGATTAAGTGCTCAACAGATACCTGTTGAGAGAAGGAATGAAAACATCCACAGTTTAAAAATGTGGAAACTGCAGTTCTGGCCCCAGGTGCAGTGGCTCACGCCTGTAATCCCAGCACTTTGGGAGGCTGAGGCGGGCAGTTTACTTGAGGTCAGGAGTTCAAGACCAGCCTGGCTAACATGGTGAAATCCCGTCTCTACTAAAAATACAAAAATTAGCCGGGCATGGTGGCGGGCGCCTATAATCCCAGCTACTTGGGAGGCTGAGGCAGGGATAATTGCTTGAACCTGGGAGACAGAGGTTGCAGTGAACCAAGATGGCGGCCACTGCACTCCAGCGTGGGGAACAGAGAGAGACTCCGTCTCAAGAAAAAAATAAAAAGAAACTGCAGTTCAGAGAAATTAAGTGATTTGCCCAAAATCACACAGGGGCTCAATGGCAGAGCTGAGATTTGAACCTATGTCTGACCAGCTCCAAAGCCTGTGTTCTTACCACAGTGCTAATTCCACACATGGGAACCTCACTGGTGGAGAGGAAGAGCTGTGAGCTGGGGTGCAGATGAGGGCCGTGGGCTGTAGATGTCTGGAGAGGCAGGCAGCTGGGGGCAAGACCCCCATAGAGGCTCCTTCTTTAAGAGCCCTGGGTTTCTCCCGCCTCCAACCTGTCCACTTGTGTTTCCCCTCAGGCTGCTGGTCATTCCGGTCAGGGGAGCAGTGCTCCCTCAACAGGTCCTCCATCAGGAAAGAGGGCCAGCCAAGCTGGAGCTTGGAAAGCCCAGACACAGAAGCTGCCACACCCAGGCCCCTGGGCCTCCTACTGTTCACAGGCTCAGCAGGGAGCTCAGAGTGACAGCGAAGAGCTCAGAGAGAAGGGTGTGCCTAAGCTTTGGACTAGCAAAGCTGGAGGGGACTCTAGAGAGCAAGTCCAACCCCCTCTTCCTACCCCCTTTGCTGGCTGTGGAAACTGAGGCCCAGAGAGAGCAGAAAGAAAAGACAGAAGCCCACACTCACTGAGTGTCTACTGGGTAGCAGGCCGAGCACCAGACCTTTCACATTTGTTTTGACAGCATCTGCAGCCCCCAGGAGACGGTGGACTCCTCGAGTCAGGGTCCTCAGGAACTCAGCAGAAAACCTGCATAGAAGCAGGTGTTCGGGAATGTCTGCTGAACACCTGCATGAATGACTTATTTAGTTCCCAGAACAATCAACTAGGTAGGAATTACTATCCTATTGAGGAAACTGCAGCCCAGAAAGGAAGCAATTGACCGTTGCCTCAAATGCTGCTGAGAAATGAGCTCTGGATAGCAGGGACCTTATCGGGAGCACATGGGGTGGAGATGGGGAGTGGACACCAGGCTGCAGTGGGTTGAGGAATGAAGGGAGGGGAGGAAGCAGGCGCTGCAAGTTGTAAGCAGCTCTTCAAGGCAAGGTGGGAAATATGAGGGGGCAGGGGCGAGGCATTCTTCCCTGGAGGAACCCAGAGTAAGGCAGGCTGGTGCTGGGCTTTGTGGCATTACCATGGGGGAACTTGGACAGGCTTCAGAGTTGGCTGGACAGAGCCAGTAGAGATATTCTGGAGATTCCCTGGAGGAAAAGATCCATTTATCCAGAGGGCCAGGGATCACTGAACTGGGCAAGAAGGTTTGCTCCTTGCCAAAGACCCCAGCTCCCCTGTATTAGTCCGTTTTCATGCTGCTGATAAAGACATACCAAAGACTGGGAGAAAAAGAGGTGTTATTTATTTATTTATTTATTTATGAGACTGAGTCTTGCTCTGTTGCCCAGGCTGGAGTGCAGTGGCACGATCTTGGCTCACTGCAGCCTCTGCCTCCCGGGTTCCAGTGATTCTCCTGCCTCAGCCTCCTGGGTAGCTGGGATTACACAAAGCCAGCTAATTTTTGTATTTTTTTAGTAGAGATGGGTTTTTACCACGTTGGCCAGGCTGGTCTCAAACTCCTAACCTCAGGTGATCCACCCACCTCGGCCTCCCAAAGTGCTGGGATTACAGGCGTGAGCCAACGCGCCCGGCCAAAAAAAGAGGTTTAATTGGACTTACAGTTCCACATGGCTGGGGAGGCCTCAGAATCATGGCAGGAGGCAAAAGGTACTGGCAAAAGAAATGGGGAAGAAGCAAAAGCGGAAACTCCTAATAAACCCATCAGATCTCGTGAGACTTATTCACTATCACGAGAACAGCAGGGTTTGAAAGAATGGCCCCCATGATTCAATTACCTCCCCGAGTCCCTCCCACAACACGTGAGAATTCTGGGAGATATAATTCAAGTTGAAATTTGAATGGGACACAGCCAAACCATATCATTCTGCCCCTGGCCTCCAAATCTCATGTCCTCACACTTCAAAACCTTCCCAATAGTCCCTCAAAGTCTTAACTCATTTCAGCATTAACCCAAAAGTCCACAGTCCAAAGTCTCATCTAAGACAAGGCAAGTCCCTTCTGTCTATGAGCCTGTAAAATCAAAAGCAAGCTAGTTACTTCCTAGATACAACAGGGGTACAGGCATTGGGTAAATACAGGTGTTCCAAATGGGAGAAAATGCCAAAAAAAAAAAAAAAAAAGGCATTACAGGGCCCATGGAAGTCTGAAATCCAGCAGGGCAGACACATTTTAAAGCTCCAAAATAATCTCCTTTGACTCTAGGTCTCACATCCAGGTCACACTGATGCAAGAGGTGGGTTACAATGGTCTGGGGCAGCTCCGCCCCTGTGGCTTTGCAGGGTACAGCCTCCTTCCCGGCTGCTTTCAAGAGCTGGAGTTGTGTGTTGTCGTGTCTGCAGCTTGTCCAGGTACACGGCGCAAGCTGTCGGTGGATCTACCATTCTGGGTCTGGAGGACGGCGGTAGCTCTTCTCTTCTCACAGTTCCACTAGGCGGTACCCCCAGTAGGGACTCGGTGGGGGCTCCAACTCCACATTTCCCTTCCACACTGCCCTAGCAGAGGTTCTCCATGAGGGCCCCGCCCCGGCAGCAAACTTTTGCTTGCGCATCCAGGCGTTTCCATATATCCTCTGAAATCTAGGTGGAGGTTCCCAAACCTCAACTCGTGACTTCTGTGCACCCACAGGCTCAACACCACGTGGAAGCTGCCAAGTGGGGCTTCCATTCTCTGAAACCATAGCCCAAGCTGTCCATTGGCCCCTTTCAGCCATGGCTGGAGCAGTTGGGTAGGGCACCATGTCTCTAGATTGCACACTGCACGAGCACCCTGGGCCCGGCCCATGAAACCACTTTTTCCTCCTGGGCTTCCGGTCCTGTGATGGGAGAGGCTGCCGTGAAGTTCTCTGACATGGCCTGGAGACATTTTCCCCAAGGTCTTGGGGATTAACATTAGGCTCCTTGCTACTTATGCAAATTTCCATGGCTTGAATTTCTCCTAAAAAATGGTTTTTTGGCCGGAAGTGGTGGCTGACGCCTGTAATCCCAGCACTTTGGGAGGCCGAGGAAGGTGGATCACGAGGTCAGGAGATCGAGACCATCCTGGTTAACATGGTGAAACCCCGTCTCTACTAAAAATACAAAAAATTGTGAGGCAGGAGAATCGCTTGAACCCAAGAGGTGGAGGTTGCAGTGAGCCTAGATTGCGCCACTGCGCTCCAGCCTGGGCAACAGAGCAAGACTCCATTTCAAAAAAAAAAAATTTTTTTTTCTACTGCATCATCAGGGTGCAAATTTTCCAAACTTTTCTGCTCTGTTTCCCTTTTAAAATGGGATGCTTTTAACAGTACCCAAGTCACCTCTTGAAAGCTTTTCTGCTTAGAAATTTCTTCCACCAGATACCCTAAATCATCTCACTCAAGTTCAAAGTTCCACAAATCTCTAGGGCAGGGGCAAAATGCCGCCAGTTTCTCTGCTAAAACATAACAAGAGTCACCTTTGCTCCAGTTCCCAACAAGTTCCTCATCTCCATCTGAGACCACCTCAGCCTGGACCTTATTGTTCATATCGCTATCAGCATTTTGGGCAAAGCCATTCAACAAATCTCTAGGAAGTTCCAAACTTTCCCACATTTTCCTGTCTTCTTCTGAGGCCTCCAAACTGTTCCAGCCTCTGCCTGTTACCCAGTTCCAAAGTCACTTCCGCATTTTCGGGTATCTTTTCAGCAACGCCCCCCTCTATTGGTACCATTTTACTGTATTAGTCCATTTTCACGCTGCTGATAAAGACATACCTGAGACGGGGAAGAAAAGCTTTAATTGGACTTACAGTCCCACATGGCTGGGGAGGCCTCAGAATCATGGCGGGAGGCGAAAGGTACTTCTTACATAGTGGTGGCAAGAGAAAATGAGGAAGACGCAAAAGTGGAAATCCCTGATAAAACCATCAGATCTTGTGAGAGTTATTATCTACCATGAGAACAGCATGGGAAAGACTGGCCCCCATGATTCAATTACCTCCCCCTGGGTTCCTCCCACAACACATGGGAATTCTGGGAGATGCAATTCAAGTTAAGATTTGGAAGGGGACACAGCCAAACCATATCATCCCCTTAGAGGGAAGCAGGAGAAGGGAATTAACATTCACTGACACTCCCCTGTGGGCTAGGCACTGAGCTGACCACTTGGTTCACACAATCTCCTCTACTCCGCAAAGCAGCCCCGGGAGGAAAGAACCAGCATCTTCATCTGACAGAAGAGTGGTCACCAACTCACGGTCACACGGCTTCCACCAGCTCACCCCTTCCTTCAACAGACACTGCCTCCACACAGTGGCCAGCCAGACATCACACTAGATGTGGTCATGGGGTGGGGAGGGGATACAGTATCGAGCCCTGCCCTCATACAAGAACACCACTTTCTCCACTAGCTCCTTTACCTCTTGCTTATCAATTTCTTTGCCTATAAAATAAAGAAGCTGCTGATCCCTAAGGATTGTGAGAATAAAGCAAAGTGACATAGCAGACACTGTTGATGTGCTTATCCATATCCCCCGCCCAACTGGAGGTAACTGCGGGAACTTTTCTATGTGCACTGATGGCTTCCTGTGTGTCTCTGCCTGGGGGCTTCTCTGGCTGCCAAACACTTGGCCCACCCAGAGGAAGCTGAAGTGCCAGGAGTTCATGTTCTCGGCCAATAAGGAGTCTGGTTGTCGGTGCATAAATGCCCCAGCTTCTCCATCCCTCGGTGGGATCACTGAGGCATGTTCCACACAGTCTCTTGGCAAGGCCCCAGCAGAAAGAGCTCCGGGTGCCACCAGGAGTAGCCTGTCCATCCACATGCCCTTCATTGTCTTTCCCCATGACTTCCTCACCATGCTTCCCTGAAGCACCTCCACATAAACTTCTTGCACCCACATCCTTGTTCAGCGTCAGCTTTGGGGCAAACCCAGCCTAAAACAGTAACATTTTACAGCCTGGTACCCAGTAGACACTTAGCAAATGCTGTCTACCTTGACACTCATTTTCATTTTTATAGAAACAGACAGCTTTGAGAACACGGTTGCAGCTCTAGCTGAGTCACCGGTGGCTCATCAGCATCTTCCAGGAGCAAGTATGGGCCTGTGGCCTGGGGATGCAGCAAGAGGGAGGGGACTGAGGGCCACGGGCCTCAGCCTGTAGCCTCATGGGTCTGTAGCCTCAGCCACTTGGAAGCTAGGTTAATCTCTGTCATATACACACACTCTACAGTTTATAAAGTTGTTTTCTTGTGTTCCAGGGCCTACATCCCATTTTCCCTCCATTGTTCCAAATCATATGTTCCAACTCAGGGTTCTGTGTTCAACACATTAGGCTTCAAGCCTAATGTGCCAAATGCTCTGCTTGTTGCAAATACACCCCTCCTCCTCCACCACCACCACCTCCCTCTCCTTCCAGGTTCCGTTGGGGTCCACCAGGCTGGAGGTGAAGTTCCCCTGCATCTGGGCAGAGGAGCTGATATGGCTCACCTGCCTTCTAAGCTGGCTGGTGAGGCCCACCAGCCGGCCCATTGTGCCCACCTGGCCATGATTTTGAGTGCTGGGACCAGGTCAAGGGTGTCACCTTGCCCCGCTACAAGTTAGTCTGCTCTATTAGCATTGGGAGCCAGGGGCAGGACGATGTGGTGGTCTCCAGCCAGAGCCTGTGGGACCTGCATGCAGACAGCTTTCCCACCTCCCACTATGTGAACCCACGCTCTTCTGCGTGGCACTGGTGCATGACATCTGTTTGGAGTGAGCCCTGCAGGATGAGGCCCACGTGGGGCCCCACATTAGACCCTGGCACCCAAACCTCAGCCTCCAGCCCATCAGTCAGTGATCCCCTGTGAAAGCAGCACCTACCTGGGCAACCCCAGCAGCTTCCATGACTCATGGTCCATTAAAAAAAAGAAACAGAGTAAGATGCACCTACGTTTCCCCTCCTTGGGCCACCTGGGCCACACACACTGCTGAGCTCCTTTGCCTCTGGCTGGAATTATGTCAACCACTGCAGCTCCCAGCTGGATGTACAGATCAGAAGCTCTGAGGGGCAGCTATCTGTGTCTTTGATTAATAAAAAATGGGAGATAAATTAATAATGACTTAAAACATGCAATTTGGGATCAAAATCTCCCAAAGCATGGGAAAAATAATAAAAAGGAGAGTTCTTGATAGTGAAAGTCTGGAAATAAATGCTGTCCTCAGAGGTCAACCATGAGTCAGGGCACTGTTGGGGAGGGAGAAAGAAGGGGGAACGGGGTCTTACACCCACTCCGTGCCAGGTGCTGTGTTTGGGGTTTACACATTTCCCTCATCCTCACACAACCCCAGGAGACAGTGTTACCATTCCCATTTTATAGATGAGCAAACTGAGGTTCACAGAGCCCAAGTTACTTGCCATAGGTCACAGGATCAGTAAGAGACTCAAACCTAGGTCTGCTTCCTTGACAAAGGAAAACAAAACGACAAAAAAAGAAAGAAAAAAATAGGCCAACAGTGTGGTGCTTGGCAAGTCATTCTGGTTTGAGTTTATGAGGAAGAGGGACAAGTAGAGGGAACAGCCCATCAGCTATGAATACCAGGAATGATTTATATGATTTACTGCTGTGTCTCCTGCACCTAGAATGGGGCCTGGAACACAGTTCATGCTCAGAAATAATCTTCAGTGAATGGCTAAAATGTGTGGGGGGATAAAGAGGCATAGTCCATTCTGAGGTAGGAGAGAGAAAGTGAATGTTTCTAAGCCCCTAGTTTCTAGAGAGCATTGAACAAGCACATTGGATTTTTTTTTAAATGTTTAATTATGGAACTATTTGAAAAACAGAAAAAGGTAGAAAATAATATAGTAGACATTGGGGAACTCATTGCCCAGATTTACCAGGGGTTCATATTTTGTCATGTTTATGTCAAGTATTTTTATAGTAAAATACAAATACAGATATGGCTAAAAACCCCATCACCCCATCCCATTCCCTTCCACCTATCACCACAGGCCACCACTATCCTTGAAGCTGGTGTGTCTCTGTCTCTTCCTGAGCATTTAGCATTATTTTGGGTTTTTACAGTTTCCAAGTACAGGTATCTCACTGTAGCTATCCTTTCACAATGTACATTTCACTTAGTTATTATGTTTTTAGGACTTCGTCTATATTGGTACATGCGGATGGAGTTCACTTTAATTGCTGTATCTACAGGCAGTTTTTAATTCCTTGCTATTTCAGAGAATGCAGCAATAAAAATCTTTTTTTGGGGGGCACTGAGTCTCGCTCTGTCACCCAGGCTGGAGTGCAGTGGTGCCATCTGGGCTCACTGCAACCTCCGCCTCCTGGGTTTAAGCAATTCTCCTGCCTCAGCCTCCCAAGTAGCTGGGATTACAGGTGCGCACCACCATGCCCAGCTAATTTTTCTATCTGTAGTAGAGACAGGGTTTCACCATGTTGGCCAGCATGGTCTCAAACTCCTGACCTCAGGTGATCTGCCCACCTCAGCCTCCCAAAGTGTTGGGATTACAGGCATGAGCCACCGCACCTGGTCATCAATAACAATCCTTTTATTATTTTTTTTAAGATGGAGTCTCGCTCTGTCGCCCAGGCTGGAGCGCAGTGGCACAATCTTGGCTCCCTGCAAGCTCCGCCTCCCGGGTTCACACCATTCTCCTGCCTCAGCCTCCCGAGTAGCTGGGACTATAGGCGCATGCCACGCCTGGCTAATTTTTTGTATTTTTAGTACAGACGGGGTTTCACCGTGTTAGCCAGGATGGTCTCAATCTCCTGACCTCGTGATCCACCTGCCTCGGCCTCCCAAAGTGCTGGGATTACAGGTGTGAGCCACCGCGCCCGGCCCAGTAACAATCTTTATACACATCTCTGGTTGCACTCATGTGTCACACACAACCTTTACCACAATCACATGCTGGAACTTGTGTATCCCTACATGACCTTGGAAAATCGCTTGAAGTCTCAGAAGCTTAGTTTCCTCATCAGTAAATTGGGGTAATAAAATAGCATGTATATTGGTGAAGATTCTTGCTTCAAAGTAGAGGAAACACCTTTTGCCACCTGGAAAGCACTTCCTGAACATTAGTTGTTTATCGCTCAGGTATTCGACATCCAGGAAGTGCTGAGCATCCTCCCCTGTTAGGGGTACAATGGGCCGGCCCTCATGCTCACATGCAGATGACACTTATGGGTACAGCGACAGAAAAGCACACAAGCCTCTCTGCTCACTGACCAAGCTGGAGTGGAAGAGACAGGCGAGGCTCCCGGGAGGAAGTGACACTGAGCTGAGACCTCAAAAGATGAGGAGGCAAAAAAGGTGAGTGGGAGATCGGAAGGTGGGAGGCTGGCCAGGCAGAGGAAGCAGCGAGTGTAAGGGATGAGCTGACGCAAGAGAACATGTTTGGAGCCTGAGAGGTGGGTGTGAGTGGGCGGTGGCATACAAAAAGTCTGGAGAGGTGGCAGAGCAGAGAGGCCCTACCCCAAGGCCACAGGGAGACAGGGAAGGATTTCAAGCAGGGGAGTGACAGGCTTGGATTTGTGTGTGGGGAAAACTGGTCTGGTCTCAGCGTGGAGGTGGCATGGAGACTGGGAGCTGGGAGACCCATGAGGGGAACACAGAAGTGACGTTGGTAAACATGGTGAGGGCTGAACTAAAGCCAATGCCGCTTCTGCGACCAAGAATCTGTCCTCAGGCCCTCTAGTAGCTGTTGCCTTCCTGAAGCTTGGGATGCATATGCACAAAGAGAGCTCTGTGTGGCTCACAGATTGTGGACACCTGGTTGACCTCTTGATGCCTGCGTATCATGTCTAGCTCCTAAGTCTCCCTTCTCCTACTACAACATCACACGGTGGCCACGCCTCCCACAACACGCAGTGGGCATCATCAGAGGAACAGCAGCTGATGGGAACCATGCCCCCACAGCTCCAAGAGGTCTGAACTCACACACCACACCCCACACTCTTCTTCTTGGGCTTGCTCAGCACCTTGTGGGGCACAGCACCCGACCCTGCACTCTCAAGTTTCCAGGCGACAGGAGCCCTTTAGGCTTCTTGGCACCAAGGGCACGGCTGGGTCCCCACCAATGTCCCATGATAAGAGATGCCACCAGCAGCCAGGCTGCACAGAACCTACACGGAGTGAGGGGAAGAGGAGGCCAACACATTCTAGGTTGGTTACCACTGGGTGGCCTTGTATAATATCTAAATATCTAAACATCTAAAATGAGACAAGGACAGAGATACGAGAACTGCCCCGGACTCTCTACTCCTTAAGTGGAGACCCCCTTAACACTCTTTTTGATTTTATTATTATTATTTTGAGACAGGGTCTTGCTCTGTCACACAGATTGGAGTGCAGTGGCTCAATCACAGCTCACTGTAGCCTCGACCTCCTTGGCTCAAGCAATACTCCCACCTCAGCCTCCAAAGTAGCTGGGACTACAGGCGCATACCACCACATAAGGTTAATCTTTTTTTTTTTTTTTTTTTTGTAGAGACAGGGTTTTGTCATGTTGGCCAGGCTGGCCTCGAACTTCTGGGCTCAGGCAATCTGCCTGCCGCAGCCTCCCAAAGTGCTGGGATTACAGGCATGAGCCACCGTGTCCGGCAACACTCTTAATATGAGTGACTTCAAAGCTTTTGAAGCCTCTATCCCCGCTGGCAGTGGTGTGCCCCTGGGCTCTCCCTAGACTAGGCTAAAGCCCCTGCCAACCACTCTCCCAGCACCCTGCACTTACCTTTTCATGACACCCATCACTTTTAGACTTACAGGTTGAATTGCTGCCTTCCTTGCTAGGCTGTAAGTTCCCCGATGGACATAACTGCATCTGCCTGGTGTGCTGTTGTTTCCCTGGTGTCTGAACAGAGTCAGGCTCCTGACAGGCCCCCGCTATTTGGAGCTGAGTCAATAGGATGTGCAAACTGAGGGAGAGGAAAGGGTGGAGGAAAACTCGCAGACCTCAGAGGCCTGGGGAGAGGAAAAGTGTCTTGCTCAAGTCACATACTAGGCAGGAAGAGATCATGGTTCCTGCTCAGAATCTTTGACTCTCAGTCAGGGCCTTTCCCACTCACTATACTGTGCTAGAAAGAGGCTACGAAACCCACAGAAAAGTGTTCTATAGTTAAATAAGCTTGAAAAACTCTGGATTAAACAAAATGAAAGGAGTTTCTTTGCCACTGGTCTTTTCAGGGCCTTTAACATGCTCCTGTGCCCGTGCTTCTGGAAGAAGGTCACACACAGTACTCCATGCTCTCTGACCCTGGAACTCTGCCTGTGAGGCGGTCTGAAACCTCCAGCACCACCCCCCAGCTATGTGTCACAATTATTTATTAAATGTGACACAGCAGAGAGATTTGTTGCCATTTTTTTTAGTGGCTAGGAAAATCCTTTTGTACAAATAAAAATAATTCAAAACCCCAATATATGAATGGGATAAAAATGCAGCTGCTCTGGTTGAAGGGGGTACTGGGGATCCATCTGGAGCTGTCCTTTCACTGCTGCTATGCAAAGAACCCTTGCTTCCTGTAGAGCGCAGTTCGAAAATCACTGATGCAGAATTGGCACATGAGGTTGAAGCTAGGAGGCTTCTAGTGCTGGCTCTGCCATGGACTGTTTTACCCTGGGCAAGTCATTTAGTCTCACTGGGCTTCAGTTTCCCGTGTATACGATAAGTCTGTCACACTGTATGTTTCTTAGAGTCCTGAACTTTCAGCTTTGATATGGTGAAGAGTACATTTCTATGACTATAAAAGTCTAACTCTAAGATTCCATGGCTTAATATTCCAATTCTGGGACTGCCTGTAGCTAGCCCAAGCTGGTGCAGCACGCTAGAGCCCAGGCTGTTGAAGGCAGAATTCATTAACTGCAGTGCGCTGCCCAGGGGCACTGGGTTCCTGGGATAGGGGTGCCAGGTTCCTGGGGTGGGTGGACCGTGATCGGCAGCCGCTCAGTGGGACAAGCTGGGAGAGGGACCCAGGTCTCCTGACTCCTGCTCTATCTTTAGATCTCCATAGCAACCATCACCAGGGCACCAAGCTGAAGGCACAGGCTGAGTGGCTGCCTGCAGGAGGAGGGAGGGGCGTTTCCTTCCCGTGCCTCTTCTTTTGCTAGGCTCGATTTTTGAGCCAGGAAAGGGGACTGAGAATGAAGCTGTTCACAGCAAGAAAGGCTTGGGGCCAATACAAGACAGTCGAGGGCCCCACCTTGCTCTCAGGATGTGGTCAAGTCATAGAACCCAAGACCTTCATGTGTCAGGCTCATGGCACTGGAGGAAAGGCAGAATCCTCCTCCAAAGAGCTCTAAGCCTCTCCCGTGTCCTTCCCTACACACTCAGGAGCCCCTAATCCGAGATGGTGCTGAGGCCACAGTTGGAGCCCCCATTAGATCCTCTAATCGGAGGGGCCAGGGAAGCTCCTCCCGACTCTTCCCCTGCCCAACTCCTACTCCTCCTGGGGCTCAGCCTGGACTTGGCTTCCTCTGAAGAGTCCTCCCTGACTCCCAGGCTGGTTGCTCACCTCCTCAGGGCCCCTACAGCCCATCCTCCTTCTACATAGTAGGAGGCCAGGAGGAGTGATTAACCTCATGGGGCAGATGAGAAGTAGAGGTTCTGAGCAGTAAAGACACTTGCCCAAGGTCACCTGGCAAATGAGCAGCAGGACCAGGCCTGGACTCCGTGTCTTCTGATTCCAGTCTGTGCTCCTTCCTGGGTCCCAGTAGCAGGCTCATGGCCTAGGCTTTGGAAGAGAGGCCAGGGCTAGAAGAGGAAATAGGAGTCCTCAGTGAGGCCTGCGCACAGTAAGCACCTGGCTATGTCTTTGGTGAACTCAGCCGAGCCACAGACCAGTGCGAATGGCTTTCTCCGACAGCAGCTGACCAGCTCTTTAATTAGGTCCTGGCCCAGGTGGCCAAAGTGGGTTTTCTCTTGGTAACTCCAGGGAAGCTGCTCTGAGGAGCTCTCCTGGGAAGACAAGAAAGGCATGGGTGACTACAAGGGAGCGGGGGGTCCTTAGTGTTCACACAGCCAGCTCTCCTCTGCAAAATGAGGAAACCAAGGCAGAGGGTGTAGGAAGCCAACCTATATCCAGGCCCACCATGGGCCAGGCATTTCCTCCTTATCTCCAAAACAAGCCTGTGAGAACTATCACCCTCCCACGACAGCAGAGGCACAGGGAAGAGGGACTTCCCTGTGGCACACAATGAGGCGGGGGCAGCAGCAGGACCAGAACTCAAGTCCCACCATTTCTCACTGCCTTCCAGCAGCCACACCTGTCACTGTGGGACGGATGTTTTCTCCCCTGACTGTGGGTTTCCCAGAATCTTTCCAAGGTTAGCTATCATCATCACCCTCGGAGCATAACTTTTGCTCATTTCTTTTAAGGTTTCAATGAACATATTCATTTAGCAGATATTTACCAAGTGCTTATTCTGTGCCAGGCACCGAGCTAGCCACTGGGGATATGGCAGCTGCTCAGAAGAGACAAGGGTCCTGGCTGCATACAGCACAGATCCCAGGTCACAATGCCTTCACTGAGAAAGGCTAAGCTCGCATTCCAAGGCTGGACGGTGACCCCACGGACCCAGGATCCTTCTCTCTGCCCTTCTAGCCTTAGCTGCAGCTTTCCTCCTCAGGGTCACAAAATGAAGGCTCCACTCCCAGGTGACTTGAAGGAATTTCTTCTATTTTTTTAAATGAACATTTTATTGGAGTACAACATATGTGTAGAAAAGTATACAAATCATTAAGTATACAGTTAGCCCTCTGTATCCATGGGTTCCACATTTGTGGATTCAACCAACTGTGGATTGAAAATATTTTTTAAAAAACATTAAAAAATAACAATATAGCAATAGAAACACACAAAAAATACAGTATAAGAGCTATTTACTCAACATTTACATTGTATTAGGTATTATAATTTAGAGATAATTTAAGTCACATGGGAGGATGTGCATAGATTACATGCAAATACCACACCATTTTATATCAAGGACTCGAGCATCCTCAGATTTTGCTATCTGCAGGGGGTCCTGGAGTCAATCCCCCATGAATACCAAGGGACAACTATATATAGTCTGAAGAATTTAAATGAAAAAACCATCTTACAAGCCCACAAAAAAACAAAATCCAGAACAGAGCCATCACTCTGCAGATCCTATGAAGGCAAGTTGCTAGTTCCTGGGGCTAGGCACAAAGACAGGATTGGTGGGGAGTGGAGCTCCACTGCCACTTTCCTGCTGAGTGACTGTGACCTCTCAGGATCATGATTGTGAGGAGAGTATCCACTATGGAAAGCCACTGTCCAGAGAGCCGTGGTGCTGGTGTAAGCCCTGGGAGAGGCCCTGTGAGGAGAGGCCTCTATTCTGAGGCACACTCAAAGGGCCCTGGAGGCAGGTGCAGTGGCTCAAGCCTGTAATCCCAGCACTTTGGGAGGCTGAGGTGGCAGGATCGCTTGAGCCCAGGAGTTCAAGACCAGCCTGGGCAATGTGACAAAAGCTGGTCTACAAAAAATACAAAAATTAGCTAGGGGTGATGCTATGTGCCTATAGTCCCAGTTGCTTGGGAGACTGAGGTAGGAGGATCATCTAAGCCCAGGGAGGTTGAGGCTTCAGTGAGTTATGATTGCACCACTGCACTCCAGCATGGGCAACAGAGTGACACCCTGTCTCAAAACAAAACAAACAGGGTCCCCTGGAGCCCCACCTCACAGAGTCTGTGCTGATGAGGGGGATCCTCTCTGATGATCTGGCATTTCCCAAGCTCCCACTATGGTCTGACCCACCAGATGGGGCCTTGGGGCCCACTGGCCTCACCTCCCCTTTTCCACTGCTCATTTCCCTCAGACCACTTAGGTTCAGCTCAGCCTATCCCACCATGCACCCTGAGATGCCCTGGGCCTGGCTGCTGGTGAGACGGATAGGGGACCCCACAAACAGTGACGGTGCAGCAGGTGGGTGCTGTGAAGGAGAGCCAGGGTGGTGGCAGCAGAACCATCAAGGCCAGCCTGGGGGCTCTAGGAAAGCTTCCAGGATGGACTTCTACCTCAACAGGGATGTGAGGGGTACAGAGGTGGGAGGTGAGGAAAGGAGAGCACTCCTGGCAGGCAGAATGGCGTGAGCAAAGGCCCAGAAGCCAGAAAAGCACAGCACACTTGCAACCATAGGCAGACCCATGACATCAGGCCACAGCTCACGGGGAGGGCGGGCTAGGAGATGAGGCCACAGAGGGAGGCAGTTCCCAGGCATGGACCTCATCCTGTGAGCAGTAGGGAGCCAGGCAAGGGCTAGAAACAGGGTGGTGGTAGGGTCAGATCTGCCTTTAGGACTGCAGGAGGCAGGACAAATCAGCAGGGAGTGGCTGGTACGGGGAGACTCTTGAGGATGCTGCAGCTGTGGCCCAGGCAGGGGAGAGAGCACACTGAGTCAAGAGAGTGTGTACAGGCAGGAGCCACCAGTCACCCCCTTCACCTGCCACTGATGGCCAGCCCACTCGCTTGCCCAACCCCAGGCCACTGGCACCACCCTGGCCCAGCTGGGGACTAAAAATCTTCTATTGCTGGTGAACTTTAACGGAAATGCCACCTGCTTGGTAAAGCCATCCCTGACCCTGCCTGGCCTCTACCCACCACTGGCATCCCGAACATCCTCACAGCACCTTGTGCTGTGCTGCCTTATTCTGAGGAGCACTAAGACCACAGCCTTTGAACAGGACCTCCTGGGTTCATACTCCACTCTCCACTAACTTGCTGTGTTACCCTGGGCAAGGTTCTTAACCATTCTGTGCCTCAGTTTCCACATCTGTACAAGGAGCATGATGGGAGTATAAGCCTCATAAGATTGTGGTGGAGATTAAATTAAATAAAGTGCTTAGAATGGTGCTGGCTACAGAGAATGTGCTGAATGAAGGGGAGTCCTTTTCAGCCGTCTCTGTGGCTGTCACCCATAGATAGGTGAGCAGCCGGAGGGCTGGGAGTGGGTCACCTTCACTGTTGTGTGTCTGACACCTGCCACATTCTCAGGCGACAGAGGAGGGAAAGCAAGGCTGGCCAGCAGCTTGGGGACCCTCTGCCAGGTGCTGCCTTCCTGCCCTCCTCCCAGCATCCTTGTCCAGGCTCTCAGGCAGGCTGCCCATGCTGCTGGGCAACAGTGGCCCATCCCTCGCGCCCACCCCTTGGGCTGCACGCTAGCCTTTGGCTCCATTCTCATTCCTTGGGCACTTTCCGCTGCTATAAATGTTCACCACGCTCTCATGTCATGCCACTGAGCATTCTGCCCCATGGACAGGCCTGCAGAACCCAGCCCCTGGGGAGCCCAGGGACCCTTATATTGGGACGGGAAATCCAATTTCCTCACCCTCCACACCCAGCTACAATGTTGAGGATCAAGTAAGTGTTTAGGGACTACATAAAGCTGCCTCATAGCGGGACCAGATGAGAATGGTACCCCACAGCACCGGGCAAGAAGGCTGACCCTGAGCACCAGGGAACACAGGGGGCCCAGCAGGAATCCCAACCCAGAGGGGACAGGAGGGAAAAGTGAAGCTACCAACCAGGGAAAGGCAGGCCACCAAAGGTAGCTGAGGGCCTGGCTTGAGATGAGGGGCAGACAATCCCCCATGCTCTAACCTATGGGGGTGGCCCCAGAAGGGTTACCTGAGTGAGCGGAGGGGATGTGGAGTCAGAGGGAGGAGGGGTCAGCAGGGAGAGTCGCTGCCAGCTACGGCGGGGTCCTCCTATGGAGGGACAGGCTGAGGTGGGAGGATACTAGCAAGCACAGGGAACTCAGATCAGTTTACTCCAGCAGTCACTAATGGAGTCCCTGTTCTGTGCCTGGCATCATGCTAAGCACTGAAGAGAGAGTGCTGAGGCAGACATGTGGTCTCCACCTCAAGGAACATCACTCAGTTGGAGGGAGGTCTGCAGCCTGCCCTGCCCTCTACAGCCAGGCCCCTGCCCATGTAACTGATGATGCCAGAGGGCGATGGGAGGCAGTAACGCATGGGGTGAGAGCCAGAGCTCAGCAACCAGACAGCCCTGGGCTCAAATCCTGGCCTCAGCCCTGTCCAGCAGCGTGAGCCGGTGGGCAGCTTCACCCACTGAATGTGCATCTCCTCATCTGTATAATGAACATGAGAACACCTGCCTTCCATACAGGTGGGTGCTCCACCAGTGGCAGGGATTATGACCACAGCATCCATTGCCAAAAGAGGCTAGAGCTGGTCCTCAGGACAGGTGCAAAGGGACAGCAGAGTCTCAATCAAAAAAGAAAGTCACCACCCTGGGCTCACCTGGCTGAGTACAAAGAAGGTACGGACATTCCAGAAACGGGCCTGCTCTTGGAGGAAGGTTTTCAGGTAGATGCTCTCAAAGGTCTTGAAGCAACCGACCAGAGTGACAAAAGTCTCGTCATTCTCATTGTCTGTGATGCTCTGCAGGATAGGCACCATGGGGGCCAGGCCCGTGCCCGCAGCCAGCAAGAGGAGCTCACCATACTGGGGAACAGAAGGGGTATGTATGACAGGTGGGTTGGGAGAGTCTCACCTTATCCCCTCTACTATGGGACTTTTCCTTGAGCTTCCTTCAACTGGACGGCAGTGCCCTTCCTTGGTGTCCAACCACCTATGTCCCCTCTCTACCTCCTCCAGAAAGCCGTCCTTGTTTGTGAAAGGCATGTGAGGTTTGGGTAATGGAGATGATGGGATATGGGGACTGAAAGGGAACATAACAGTATAGCCCATCCTGTAAGTGGCCTGGTTGCCTACTAAAGCATCCCCACAAGGACTCTGCTTACATACTTCTACTGACAGGGGGCTCATTACTTCCCAAGGCAGTTTGCTCTACTGTAGGCCAAATCCTTTGCCAGGGAGGTCTTTACAACTTACATTGAGCTGAAACCTGCTCCCATCAAAGCCTTGCCCACTCCCAATGCCATTCCAGCCCTGCTCTCTGGGCTGCTTCCTCTGCCCCAGGGTACCTCTGCAGAGATCTCAAGGGCCCACCTTGGACCTCTGAGCTTGCTCATCTCTAGGCTAAATGAAATAATATGCATAAGCATGTAGCACAGCACTGGCACAAAAGAGTCACTTGAAAAAGGTGAGTTCCCGGCCAGGAGTGGTGGCTCACACCTATAAACCTAGTACTTTGGGAGGCCAAGGTGGGCGGATCACTTAAGGTCAGGAGTTCGAGACCAACGTGGCAAAACTCCGTCTCTACTAAAAATACAAAAATTAGCCAAGCGTGGTGGTGCACGCCTGTAGTCCCAGCTACTTGGGAGGCTGAGGCAGAAGAATTGCTTGAGCCTGGGAGGCAGAGGTTGCAGTGAGTCGAGATCATGCCACTGCACTCCAGCCTGGGCAACAGAGCAAGATTCCATCTAAAAAAAAAAAAAAAAAGGTGAGTTCCCACCCCAGGAGGTCCCAGTTCCATCAACTCCTCCTCACTGAATCTATTTCCAGGCTCTAGGCCTCTTAAAGAGGGGTGAACCTCTGTAATCCCAGCACCTTGGGAAGCCAAGGCAGGCGGTTCACGAGGTCAGGAGATCGAGCCATCCTGGCTAACACGGTGAAACCCCATCTCTACTAAAAATACAAAAAATTAGCCAGGCATGGTGGGGTGCGCCTGTAGTCCCAGATATTCAGGAGGCTGAGGCAGGAGAATGGCGTGATCCTGGGAGGCGGAGCTTGCAGTGAGCTGAGATCGCGCCACTGCACTCCAGCCTGGGTGACAGTGCGAGACTCCGTCTCAAAGAAAAAAAAAAAAAAGAGGGGTGACCCTCTTTAAGGTCAGTGCCTTAAAGTTTAGTACCTGAGTGATGCAGGGGTATTTACCACCCTCATTCTAGAGATTAGGCCTCTGGGTATAAATCCCCAACCATGTGATCTGGGCAAGCTCTTTCACCAATATAATCCTCAGTGTCCTCACTGGTAAAAAAAAGAAACGCACTTCCCCATAACAGCACCTATCTCAGAACTGTTACCAGGATTAAATGAGATGAAGAAAAGTGCTTGGTTGGCTGGGTATGGTGGCTCATGCGTGTAATCTCAGCTACTCAAGACTGAGACAGGAGGATCGCTTGAGCCCAGGAGGTTGGGGCTGTAGTGAACCATGATCATGCCACTGCACTCCAGCTGGGCAAGAGTGAGACCCTGTCTCAAACAAAACAAAACAAAACAAACAAAAAAGAAAACTGCCTGGTGCAGATCCAATTAGATTCCTCCCCCTCCCTAAGCTGCTGAGACTCACGCCTGGCAGCTGTTGCTGTGTCTGTGCTCTCTCCAGCCTCCAGGCCTTCAGCTTGCCATGCTCCTCTGCCTCCTCCCATCCTAGCTCGGGCTATCCTTTGGAGGGCCTTTCCCAAGCCAGGGCAGGGGAGGCTCCTTTCTTTGTGTTTCCACAGCTCCCTGTGAGTCCCTCTGAACCACACTGGCCACACTGTGCTGCTGTCACCTGTCTGTGTGTCTGACTCCCCCAGCAGACTGTGAGCTTCTGGAGAACAGGGGACTCATCTGACCCATCTCTAGGTCCCCAGAGTCCCCTGGCCCTGGGTGAACACTTGTGTCTGTTTGTTGAATGAATGCACAGACAGATGCTAATATGTCAGTCTTCAGGGCTGATGTAATATCCATCTGTAACGAAGACGACTGCAGAGCAGCAAAACAGGGCCCGGAAGAGGGCAGGAGCTTCCCAGACATCCTCGTGTGGTGAAACCAAGGCTTACTGAAATTTCAGTGACCGCATATTAAGGTGTGAGACACCATTTCTTTTTCCCTACCATCAGGCCCTACAGCCTCCCTAGCTAAGAAATCCAGGAGCTGGACACGGTGGCTTATGCCTATAATCCCAGCACTTTGGGAGGCTGACGTGGGAGGATCACTTGAGCCAAGGAGTTTGAGACCAGCCTGGGCAACATGGTGAAATCCTGTGTCTACAAAAAAATACAAAACTTAGCTGGGCGTGGTGATACACGCCTGTAGTCCCAGCTACTTGGGAGGCTGAGGCAGCAAGATTGCTTTAGCCCAGTAGGTGGAGCTGTAGTGAGCTATGACAGCACTCCAGCTTGGGCAACAGGGAGGGAAGGAGGACGGGAAGACAGGAAGGCAGGAAGGTAGGAAATAAATGCAGGGCCTTTCAAGTATTCCGTGCATGTGAAGGAGCAGCCACAAGGCATTGGGAGGCTCCACCAGAAAAGGCGGTCAAGACAACGTTCATCTGTTATCCACTCTAGACAAGGAGGAAACACAAACGATTTCCATTCCCTGCTCTCAAGCATCTGGGGGATGCAGGGTCTAAAATGCAAGGCTAAGCATGGTTAGTACTAGAAGAATACTATGGAATAGTATTAACATATGCATAGCACATATCTGTAGAATGGGGTTGTAGCACCTAAGAGCTGCTGTGAAGACTATGTGAGTTACCATATAGCAAGTGCTAAGGTCTGAGCCTGGCACACATGAGGTGCTACACGTGCTTGATATTATTATACATATATACTACACATGTGCATGCAGTGTGCATTTGTACATATACTCATGTGGAAGAGGATTTGGAAGGATATACACCAAGCCATAAGATGGGTGTGTCTGGGTAGAATGCCTGTGAGTGTTTTTTCTTTTCTTTTTTTTTTGTCTCTTTCCATCTGCTGATTTTTGGGTAATGAACATGTACTGCATTTATAAAAGGAAAAAAAACAATAAAAGCTTTTTTTTTTGAAACAGAGTCTCTCTCTGCCACCCAGGCCAGAGTGCAGCGGCATGATCTCAGCTCATTGCAACCTCTGCCTTCTGGGTTCAAATGATTCTCATGCCTCGGCCTCCCAAGTGGTTGGGATTACAGGTGTGTGCCACCATGCCTGGCTAGTATTTTTTGTATTTTTAGTAGAGACAGGATTTTGCCATGTTGGCCAGGCTGGTCTCAAACTCCTGACCTCAGGTGATCCACCCGCCTCGGCCTCCCAAAGTGCTGGGATTACAGGCGTGAGCCACTGCGCCCAGCCAACAAAAGCTATTTAAAAATTAAACAAAAAGAATGGAGAGGAAGGCATGATTCATTCTTTTCCATTTGTTTTCATTTTGCTTTGTTTTCCTAATCATAAAGTAATAGGTGTTCGCTGCAAATGATTTAGAAAGTATAATGAAGAAAATAAAAATCACCCATAATTTCACCACCCAGAGCTGCTAACATTTCATTGCATTTTCTTTTCATATTTTCTCTGTGCATTTTAACTTAATTTCCCAACCTCCTGTATATTCAGTTTTGTACCTAGTGTTTGTCACTTCATCTTACAGCATAAGTATATAACATCATTTATAAACAGAACTTTAAAATCCAGGATATTATTCTATCAAGTACCTGTAGCCCGGTTTACCTAACTGTTCCCCTGCTGTTGGATATTCGGTTGTTTCCAATTTTCTGCTATTATAAATAAAGATGCAATGAACATACGCAGAAGAGCCAGCATTTTGATTCATTCTATAGGACGGACTTCCATAAGTGGAATTACTGGGGCCAAGGATTTGAAGACTCTTGGTACATACTGTCAAAATGCTTTCCAGATATGCACCAACTGATGAGAAATTACGAATTCTTACTGGGAAAGTCGGGGAAGGGTTTAAAAATGCCAGGATGATGAGGAGAAGAGCCATCTGAGCTAGGAAGCAGGAAGCCATGGGGCATATTTAGTCATGTGACTGTACTGTGAAATTGGAAAGGCGCCTGAGGGTCAGAGGGCATAAGGGCTCCTAAACGTCAAGTACAAGGGTCTGATGTTCTAAGCAATGGCCGCCCTGGGTAGCTTTGGAGCTGGGCAGGCAGTTTCATTTATAAGTGTCTACTCTGGCTGGGCGCGGTGGCTCACGCCTGTAACCCCAGCACTTTGGGAGGCTGAGGCGGGCAGATCACCTGAGGTTGGGAGTTCATGACCAGCCTGACCAACATGGAGAAACCCTGTATCTACTAAAAATACAAAATTAGCCGGGTGTGGTGGCACATGCCTGTAATCTCAGCTACTTGGGAGGCTGAGGCAGGAGAATCGCTTGAACCTGGGAGGTGGAGGTTGCGGTGAGCCGAGATCGCGTCACTGCACTCCAGCCTGGGCAACAAGAGCGAAACTCCGTCTCTAAATAAATAAATAAATAAATAAATAAATAAGTGTCTATTCCATCTTCTCCCATGTCCAACCCCAAGGATACACCTGGGATTGTGTTTGAGCTCAAGGAGAATGGCACAGTGAGATGCTATGGGCCGAAACATGAAAACCACAGTCAACAGGGATCTCCTGAAGATTTAAGGTGCTGGCACTGACCTGGTTTGGTTTATAGAAGAAATCTCCGAAAGGTCCTCGCCAGAAAGCTGTGTCTCCTACTCTCCAGGACTCAACATACCGGGACATCAGCCCCATCTGGTAGCACTGGAAGCAAACACAGGGAGACGTCAGCGGGACAGGTACATGCTGCCAACACAAACCAGATTAACCATTAATGTGGAGCCCGTTCTGTATGCTAAGTGCTTCACATGTGTTATCTCATTTAATCGTCCTCCTTATCCTACAAAGTTGGTACAGCCATTCCCAATTTTCAGATGAGGCCCAGAAGCTTACACAGAAGGCAGACAGGAGGCTGGGATGAGAATCCATAGGACCTAAAGCCTTCAGCATAGAGGTCCCAAACCCAAATGCCCACAGGGACCATGCAGGTACCATAAATGAGTGAAGAACTGGGTGATGATTAATGGCAATTAACACACAGTCTCAGCATCAGGGAGACAATAGGGAGTGATGGGGACTATGATAAATTGGTGAGCGAGTGCTCCTTCTAAGGAGGGAAGCCAGTTTGCAGGTTTCAGTCCATAGTTTGTGGGGCCTAATTGGCCAAATCTATTGATTTTCCAAAAGAGGCACGAAATCCATATTTTTATTTAAAATCTCCCATTTTTGAAATGTCTGCAATTAATTCAAAATTTTAAAACTCTATGCTGGCCAATACCAAATACATCTATGGGCTAGATTCAGGCCACCCATCTGCAGTCTCTGCATTATCCTACACCATCTCCTGGCTGGATGAAAAATGAAGGTTACAGAAGTGATTCCTCCATGGAGAAGGGAGTCTATATTGCCTGGGTGCCTGTCCACTCTGTGCCAGGCACCATGTTGAGGATGCAGGCAAGACAGCTAGATCTTAAGCTCCATGAAGGCAGCCAGTGCCTGAACCATGGAAGTAACTTAATAAATACCTGAATGAATGAATCAATCAATCAATCCAGATTCAGGCTCTCCCCTTAAGGAGCTTACAATCTAGAAGGGACCTAAGTCTCAGACATATACAAGGTAGAGACCATCTAATACCCATGAGAAGAATAAACTAGGAATAAACCTGAGAAGGCTGCAGCCACTTCCATGGATGGGATCGAGGATGGCTTCCTGGGGGAGGAAGCATTTGAGTTGGACCTTGAAAGATGGGCAAGATGGAATTCACTGGGGATGGGAGCAGGGGTGCAGAGAGGACTCTGGACATCAGGTGTAGTATGGTCAGGGGTAGGACAATCTGGGTCATGTTTTGGGAATAGCAAGTGAACATGGTAGGGTGAGGGTGAGGGCGAAGCACTGGGAGACAGGACTGGAAGGGTGTTTGGAGTAAGATTATAGCCAGGCTTAACACAGAGAAAGGGCTTTGGTCCCCAGACCTGTTTTTAAGCACCCATGGCCATCTCTGATATCATCCCTGACTTCCTTGGGCACCACCTGCACAAGGCAACGGAAGTCCCTGGCTCAACTGGAAGGGGTCTAGTAGGAAAGGTGAGGTTTTTCTCCTGCCTTGCTGGAGGCTGTCTCCATGCACGCTTTGTTTTCTGGCCCCTATCTAGGGGGAGGCATGACCCCAGCTGTGGCCTTGACAGCACCCAAGAAGAAGGGAAGGATTCTTCCATGTTGTCTTTAGTACCCTGATATGGTTTGGCTGTGTCCCCACCCAAATCTCATCTTGAATTCCCATGTGTTGTGGGAGGGACCCAGTGGGAGGTAAATGAATCATGGGGGCAGGTCTTTCCCATGCTGTTCTTGTGATAGTGAATAAGTCTCATGAGATCTGATGGTTTTACAAAGAAGAGTTTCCCCGCACAAGCTCTCTTCTTGTCTGCCGCCATGTGAGATATGCCTTTCACCTTCTGCCATGATTGTGAGGCCTCCCCAGCCATGTGGAACTGTGAGTCCATTAAACCCCTTTCTTTCATAAATTGCCCATTCTCAGGTATGTCCTTATCAGCAGCGTGAAAACGGACTAATACATACCCACACAGAGCCTGGCACAGAGTAAATGTTTAATACATACTTGTTAAACAGAACTGACACTGAACTTTTGTCCTTCCATTTGGATCATATTACCCAAGAGGCCTTGAGACAAATGATGTCATCTTTTTGAGCTTCAGTTTCTTCATCTGTAAAATGGGAATAATATGACCTACTCTATAGGTTGGTTATGAGGTTGAAATGAGATAATTAGAATAAAGAGACAGAGGCAGTACCTGGTGCCCAGAAGGTGTCTGAGAAATGGGAGCTTCTCCTTCCCTTCTACTTGGGAGGGTCAAACGATAAGCCCTGCCTGCCTTCCCAATTTGCAAAGACATTTCTGGCTTTTCCTAGCCAGTGGCTTAGAGATAATTAAGCATCTCTCTAAAGAGAGGCTTTCTAGCAAACGAAGGAGAAAATCAGCCTTGCAGCTGGGAGAGATCCAGCTGCCCTGAAGAACTGTCTCCAGGCTTATCCTTTCCACAGAAACACACCCCGACAAGCAGCCTGGGGAAGCAGGCCATTTGGAGAGGATTTGTGGAATCTCCCAGACAAACAGTTGCATGAAGAAGGGATCCCATCCAAGCTTATGTGTGGAGGAATAAACACTCGGGCTCAGACGGCAGGTAGGAAGGCGGGAGCTGGAGGCAGTGCTGAGGTCTCGGTGTCAGGGGGCAGGACTCACCTACTAGCAGCACTTCTTACTAGCTGTGGGGCCTTGGGACCTCTGGGGGACTCCGTTTACTTATCAATGCAATATAGATAATAAGTCATGTCTTATAACATAGATTAAGGATGTGAACACTATTCTTAAATATTCGTAATGATTCCATTTGGGAAATGATGATCTAGAGCTGTGTATTAGGTTGACCCACATGAAGCTGATGTTTCTTTAAGTCAAAAAAGTTAGAATATCAGCAATTTCATGTAGCTCAACCTAATTATTCTTTCCACATAATTGGGCCTCCACAACTTCTTATATATTTGTTTCCTATTCCTTGGGTCTCCAGGGTGTTTTGCATCCAACCTACTTTGTTCATCTCATATCTGCCAATTCCTCCATCCACCCTGCCTTCTCCACCAGCACCCTCTCCTCCTGGCTCTCAGGCTGGGTATAGTTCCTAGAAGACTTGTTCTATTTCACCCCTCCCAACCTTTGGTTAACCATCCCCTCAGCCTAGAATGCCATTTACGGCCACTGCCAATTTGTACTCCTTCTTCAAGGTCCAACTCAAATGCCCCGGTTCTGCCCACCTCCCCTAAGAGGTGATGTTAGGTTAGTCCTGTCTATAAGCTCCTCCATGTCCTACCTCTTGCCTAATCCTCTCAGATTGCATCCTGCTCCCTTGGCACTCCTTCCTTCTGTTCCAGGACAAAGGACTTACTTCCCCAATTGCCTTTGTCCATGTTGTTCCCAGCACTGAGTTTCCTTCCCACATTTTCCCTTTAGCTCTCCATTCTTAGACCCATAGCTTCTCCACGGCATCTTGGAGCATCCTCAAGGGTCAACTCACCTTAATTAACACTTCAAAGTATCCTTCTGCGTTGGCAGGGCTGATGGGCGTATAGGCTCTCTGAATTTCTAAGTCATCTACTATCCCTCTGAGAAACAGAAGTGTGCAGTCAGTCAGCCAGTCATTCAGCAAACCCTTTTAAGGCTGGGCACGGTGGCTCATGTCTGTAATCCCCACACTTTGGGAGGCCGAGGTGGGCTGATCACTTGAGGTCAGGAGTTTGAGACCAGCCTGGACAACATAGTGAAACCCGTCACTACTAAAAGTACAAAAATTTAGCTGGGTGTGGTGGCTCACGCCTGTAGTCTCAGCTACCTGGGAGGCTGAGTCACATGAATCACTTGAACCCGGGAGGTGGAGGTTTCAGTGAGCTGAGATCATGCTACTGCACTCCAGCCTGGGCAAATAGAGCAAGACTCTGTCTCAAACAAACAAACAACTGCAAATCCTTATGAGGTAACTCCTCTGCCAGGCTGGTGAAAATAAAGGTCCTCACTGAGAGGCAGGCAAGATGCAACAGAAAAAAAAGAGTACTGGGCTCATCCACTGCCACGTGCTGGCTGTGAGATCCCAGTAGATCATCTCATGCCCCGTGGCCCCTTTTGTAAAATGGGGACAGCTATCTGCATTCCAGTTGTGTGGCTCCTCTGGGACTACAGATGGGAGAGTGTTTCAAAAAGTGCACTGAGGATGTGAGTTGTTTTGGAGACATGACTGTCATTTTTCCTGACCTCTTCCCGACCACAGAGTGATAAAGACTAAAACAACTGCTAACATTTATTAAACACTTACTAGCACCTGACAGAAGCATTAGGACTGGAAGGATCCTCAAAGGGCCCTGGTCTAAAGCCCTGTCTCATGCATGAATCCTCTCCATGTTACCAAAAACAGGGTCAGGATAACCACCATGAGTCACAGTAATAGCCATGGTGTATTAAATGCATACATGTATCAAGCATTTCATATGCATTATCTCATTTAACTCAAACAACAATCCAAATGAGGAATCCAGTGCTTAGAGAAGGGAAGTCACTTGCACAGCTCAAATTCAATCACAGCTCTAACTTCAGAGCTGGGTTCCTCACCACTGTTCTTCAGAGCTTCCCAGAAGCTTCCCTAAGCAGTCTTCTCTCAAGTCCTACTACGTACAAAACTTTCTTCTCTGAGGTATGCAAAGATTAAATAAGGCCCTGTCTCAATGCACCAAAAGCATGAGAGGGCTGGACAGAAATATTTAATAAATGCATATGAGGCTGGGCGTGGTGGCTCACGTCTATAATCCCAGCACTCTGGGAGGCCAAAGTGGGCGGATCACGAGGTCAAGAGATCGAGACCATCCTGGTCAACATGGTGAAACCCCATCTCTACTAAATATACAAAAATTAGCTGGGCATGGTGGTGCATGCCTGTAGTCCCAGTTACTTGGGAGACTGAGGCAGGAGAATCACTTGAACCTGGGAGGCGGAGGTTGCAGTGAGCTGAGATCATGCCACTGCACTCCAACCTGGGTGACAGAGTGAGACTCTGTCTCAAAAAATATAAATAAATAAATAAATAAATGCATATGAAACAAATGGGGACCTAAGGAACAGAGCACAGAGCATGGCTTGGCTGCAGAGCACTATGACGTCTGCTGCAACAGAGGTAAAACTGGTATGTTTTAGAGGGAGTGCGCAGTCTCCTCTGGGAGCCTAGGAAACCTCCTGGAGGTGGGTGCTGCAGGATAGGCCAGCCACTGACAAGGGCAAATCGGGACAGGAAGGGTGGTGGGAATGGGGCGTGGAGCAGGAGGCTGAGACCAGGGCAGGGGTGGGTTGGCAAAGGGAGAAGAACATGGTGGGAAAGCAAGCTGGGGCCTTGGGTTAGGACATCATTACGGAGGCGATGTGGTACCTCAGATACCTTCTGGGGTGCTACATTGCCTCCATGCTGCACCCCACAGTGACATGGTCAGATATGTGTGTTAGGGATGTCACCGCAGGGACAGAGAGGGTGAAGGAGGGGAGCCAGCCTGGAGGCAGGGAGTTCTGAGCATTCTGGTTCATGGATGGAAGGATGCCTGGGGCCATGACCTGCCCTGTGGCCCCTCCTGCCCACTGGGATAGTGAACTTCTAGGACTGCTGGCCAGGTCACAGGCCAGAAGGAGCTGGGCACAAACACCAGGGGCCAGTGTGAAGCAAGTGGCCAGAGTCTGAGCAGCAGTGAGTGCTCTTCTGGTTTCCACCTTCTCCTCTGGCCGCACCTTGCTTCCTTTGCTGGCTCCTCCTCCTCTTGCCAATACCGTAGATGCTGGTGTTTCCAGGGTTTGGTCCTGTGCGCCTTTCTCTTTCCATGCACACATTTTCCCAAATGCCACTCAGCTATGTGCCAATGACTCCCAAACCCATGCCTGCAGCTCAGATCTCTCTACTGAGCCTCAGATTCACAGAGCCAACAGCCTGGCAGACAGCTCTACCTGGACATCCCAAAGGGTCTTGTCTCTGGGCAGGCAGGGGTGGGGACTGGGGTGGGAGTAGAGTGCCTAAGTAGGCTGGGAGGAAGTAGGAACCTCAGAGGAGTGGTAAAGAGCGTAACTCAGGAGCCAGGCTGTCTGGGTTTAAATCCTGGCTCCGTGACTTATTAGCTATGTAGTGCTGGGCAAGCCCTTTATTCTCAATTCTATCAATTGGTACTAATCATATTAGGTTCATACCACAAGCTCTAAAGCCACATTGCTTGCCTTCAAATCCTGGCTCCAACATTTCCTAACTGTGTGACCTTGGCAAGTTTCTGGACCTCTCTTACTTCAATTTCCTCTGGGGTATAACTGCACCTACCACACAGGATTTTGTGAGGGTTAAATGATTTCATGCCTATAAGCACCCAGAACTGTGCCTTGGATAGTAAATGCTATTAAAGTGATTGTGTTATTATTTATTATGAAAATGCATTATCTAGTTCAATCCCAAGAACTCTCTGAGTCATGTGTCACTATGTCTATCTTGAAGATGACAAATGGAGGCTTAAGGGAGAGTACGCTAGTTGGTCAAGGCCAGCAGCTAGCAAATAGCAAAGCAGGGCTGTGAAGCTTTGGTCCTCCCGCTACCTGAGTGTACCGTAGGATGAGGTGCTGGCCGGGCCGCAGGCCAAGCTGGCTGTTCCCGGGTAGAGCAAACCGGACACGGTAGGTGTCCTTAGTGAGCCTGTCCATGGCAATGATGCAGAAGGCCACGAAGGTCTCTGGGTTCAGCTTGGAGGGGCAGCTCTGCAACAGGAAGAGATCCAACAGCTAGAGGCCGGGGCTCCACAGACACACAGGCATCCATAGCATCCTTCCCACTGTCCCCAAGGAGAGGCTGTCTTGGCTCGGGAAGTTTCCTGTAAACTGGACACTAGCCTCACCTTACTTCCCTTTCAAAATTGGATCTAAGAATGCCAGAGCGCTTTCCTTTGAGCCTATCCTGCTCTTAAGCCTTCCATGGCTCCCCTCAGCTCCAGGGTAAAATGCGGGCTCCTTCCTTAGCTGCCCACTCAAAGGCCCTGTGGACGACCCTCATGCCTCATTTTATCTCCCAGGCATCTAATGCCAGACTTTTCTTTGTCCTCCCAAGAACACCCTGCTGCCTCCTACTTCTGAGTCTTTATTTGCTCAAGCAGTGCCCTCTTATCCAGAACATTCATCTCCAATGTGTAAAAGACATACCCATTCTTCAAAGCTGCTAAAATCCAGATTTGCATAATTTATAAGTTGATGGGACCTCAGAATGTCTAACCCAATATCTGTGTATTACATATGTGGAAACTGAGGCCTGAGTTGAGTCATGCTGGCTTACTTGTCCACAATCACACTGTAGACAAAAATTCAAATTCATGTCTAAGTCTCAGCCCACTGCCTTTAACATTCCACCCCAACCTGCATCTCCTCCAGGAAGCCTTCTCTGAATGCTGTGACTCACAGATCTTTCTTTCCTGTAAAATACTCCATTTACTCCTGGGACCCCTCAATCCCAGCTTAGGGCCTGCACCATCCTGCAGCACCAACTCTGGAACCCCAGTTACCCATGGTAGTGCTGACAGTATCACTGAGCTGACAGAAATTCTTGGGCTTGGCATTCAAGGCCTTGTCTCCACTGTGCCCCTTCCCACACCCACCATCCAGGATGACCTCTTCATCATCAGCCAGAGTACCTGGGTACTCTCTGGCACAACTGCCTGGTGCTTTGGAAAGAACACTGGACTGGGAGTCGGGAGAACTGGGTTTAGCCCCAGCTCAGCTGCTGCCTCCCTGTGGGGCCTTCAGCATATCAATTGATCCTCTGGGTCTCAGTTTCCTAGTCTATAAAAAGGGCCACTCATCCCTGATAACTTTATAGGGTTACCATGAGGGTCAGATGAGATACAATGTAAAAAGCATTTTATAAAATATAAGTTACCATGGAAATGTAAAATCTTTTCCTATTATTATTGCTTCATTAAAAGTTAAAAAAATTGGAATATGCTATTTTATAGGACTGACAAAATGTGTTTGTTTGCATCCATCTGTTTGCAAATTTTTTTTTTTTTTTTTTTTTGAGATAGAGTCTCGCTCTGTTGCCCAGGCTGGAGTGCAGTGGTGTGATCTCGGCTCACTACAATCTCTGCCTCCCGGATTCAAGTGATTCTCGTGCCTCAGCCTCCCAGGTAACTGGGATCACAGACATGTGCCACCACACCCAGCTAATTTTTGTACTTTTAGTAGTGATGTGGTTTCACCATGTTGGCCAGGCTGGTCTTGAACTCCTGACCTCAGGTGATCCGCCCACTTTGGCCTCTCAAAGTGCTGGGATTACAGGTGTGAGGCACCACGCTGGACCTCTGTTTGCAACTTTAAATGTGGTATCATTTAAATTTCCAGTGTTATAATAGGTGATGACAGCTACTATTTACTGAGCATCTACCATGTGCCAGGTGCTTTACATATTCATCCCATGAAATTCTCATAACAACCTATAAAGTATTAACATCCCAGTTTTTCAGATGAGAAAACTGAGGTTTAGCACACTAAAATGACATGCCCAACATCATACAATTAACTGGCAGAACCGGGCCTCAGTTCCTTAGTGAGTCTTTCTATCACTACCCTGTGTTTCTTTTTTTTTTTTTGAGACAGAGTGTTGCTGTGTCGCCCAGGCTGAAGTGCAGTGGTACAATTTGGGCTCAATGCAACCTCCACCTCCTGGTTCAAACAATTCTCATGCCTCAGCCTCCCAAGTAGCTGGGACTACAGGTGCGTGCCACCACGTCTGGCTAATTTTTATATTTGTAGTAGAGACAGGGTTTCACCATGTTGGCCAGGCTGGTCTTGAACTCCTGAGCTTAGGTGATCCACCTGCCTTGGCCTCCCAAAGTGCTGGGATTACAGGCATAAGCCACCGTGCCTGGCCAAGTAACCCTGTGATTCTTTATCCCCCTTCTGTAAGCTGAGTTTTTTCAGCACTGGTACCCTGGCATCTTTATTACCAACCTCCTTGTGCCTAGCACACAGGATATGGTACTTAGTAGATCTTGGAGAAACACATTCATTCATCTGCAAATATTTAATGAGTGCCAACTGTAATGCCAGGAACTACTCAAGGTGCTGAGGATAGAACAGTGAGAAAGACAGAGGCCCCTTCTCTTCCAGAACTGATATTTTGGCAAGAAGATGGACGATATACACATAAGAGTACATCTAGATGGTGTCTGGTAGTCCTGAGTTAGGAAGAGAAATGAAATTTGGGCAGAGATCAGAAAGAAGTGAAGGGGTGAGCCATGTGGAGATGGAGGGCAGTGAGAAGAAAGAAACAGAGGTTGTCACGAACATTCCCCAGTCACTGGCAGAAGCCAGAGCACTCTAGTCCCCATCACCAACTTCCAGTGGCAGAAATACAAGGAGACACTAAATATAAAGTCATGCATGCCTGTAATCCCAGCAAGCACTTTGGGAGGCCAAGAGGGGAGGTTTGCTTAAGCCCAGGAGTTTGAGCCCAGCCTGGGCAATATTGCAAGACCCCATCTCTATCTTTATAAAAAGCAAAAATATGGCCAGGTACAGTGGCTCACACCTATAATCCCACTACTTTGAGAGGCTGAGGCAGGTGGATCAGTTGAGGTCAGGAGTTCGAGACCAACGTGGTAAAACCCTGTCTCTGCTAAAAATGCAAAAAAAAATTAGCCGGGCGTGGTGGTAGGTGCCTGTAATCCCAGGTACTCAGGAGGCTGAGGCAGGAGAATTGCTTGAACTTGGGAGGCAGAGGTTTCAGTGAGCTGAGATCATGCCACTGTACTCCAGCCTGGGTGATGGAGTGAGACTCTGCCTCAATAATAATAATAATAATAAGTGAGACTCTTCCTCAATAATAATAATAATAATAATAATGATAATAATAATAATAATAATAATGTCATGTTGTTTTGGGGTTCAGAGAAACAACTGCAAGGCCAGGTGTGGTGGCTCACGCCTCTAATCCCAGTACTTTGGGAGGCTGAGGCAGGTGGATCACCTAAGTTCAGGAGTTCAAGACCAGCCTGGCCAACATGGTGAAACCCCATCTGTACTAAAAACATAAAATTAGTCAGGTGTGGTGGCACATGCCTGTAATCCCAGCTACTTGGAAGGCTGAGGCAGGAGAATCGCTTGAACCTGGGAGGCGGAGGTTGCAGTGAACCAAGATAGCGCCACTGCACCCCAGCCTGGGCAACAAGAGCAAAACTCCATCTCAAAAAAAAAAAGAAAGGAAAAGAAAAGATAAGAAAAACAACTGCATTTGTTCAGGATGTATGATCTATAGCTTAAGAACAACACGTGTAAAAATGACTAAGCTTTGGTCTAGTTTGAGCCACAAGAATGGGGAATGGTTGGTCAAAAAGTGATGATGGCCAGGCAAGGTGGCTTACGCCTGTAATCCCATCTCTTTGGGAGGCTGAGGCGGGAGGATCACTTGAGACCAAGAGTTCGAGACCAGCCCTGGCAACATAGCAAGATTCCATCTCTACAAAAAAGAAAAAAAAAAGTGATTACGATGCCAGATGGCATTGAGAGAGGTAGAAATGGGAGACACCTCTACTCCACATTAGTCAGGAGGGACACAGAAAATGGGAAGACTGTTCAGATGCGGGAGACCAAGACAGGGACAGATTCAAAACAAAACCTATGCACAGTGTCAGAAGGAATAGGTCCTCAGTTTCCCTATCTGTGTTATACAGGGGGTGAAGTCCAGTGTTCTGACATCTATAACTGTGAACCCTTCCAAACATTACAATAAAGGGCTAAACTGCTTAGTCCAGACTATGAAGTCCCGGAGGAGTTAAGGAGGAAGAAGTCAGTAAGGGCCAGAGAAGAAGAAATATCAGCCCTAACATCCTTTATTTACCTAGAATAAACTATAGCTAGTTTAGTCCATAAGGACAAGGACTGTGTCTGTCATGCTCACTCTCAAATCCTCACTATTTCACAGGGCCTGGTATATAATAGGTACTCAATAAATATAGTTAAGTGAAATGGATGTCAAGCTCTGTGCTACACATCACAAACATTGAGCCTCATTTTACAGATGGGGAAACTAAGGCTTAAACTCTGCCTCAAATCACACAGCTGCTAATAAGTTTGCTTCAGGGCTGGGCTTTGAGCCTAGATCTGTTTGCTTCTGTTATGCATACTCTTTTCTTCTGCTGTACAGTCAGGGAAGGCTTCCTAGAGGTGTGCTTTGCAGGGCCAAGGCAAGTAGATTGTTGCCCTGGTGCTCATATCGAGAAGCAGCCTCTCTCACCTGTGACTCTGGCCCACGCAGCAGGCTCCTGTCCTTGCTGGCTTGGGCTGCCTCCCACCTTGCCAGATCTCGGTGATAGAGGTCAAACACACAGGGTGAGCAGCCACTGCCGCAGCACTGGGAAGGCAAGGGTTCTGTGGGCCGTAGCTGCATCCAGGCTTCCTCAGTGTCGTCGTCCTCTTCCCTCTCAGCCATCATCAGTGGGGCTTGGGCAGCCTAGAAGGAACAACTGGGTGCTCTTCCAGAACAGGCCAGGCTCTATGAGACCACGGGCGCAGGCCCTGCTCCTTGGCCAGCCTGGGAGAGGGAAAACATGGGGGTTATTCTCTGGTCTCCTCTATTCCTCACATTCTCCAAAGCCTGCAGGTGCCAGGCTCTGTGCAAGCACTGGGGATGGAGATGGATCAGCCAAGGAGTGTGCTGTCTGGTGGGGAGCATTAACCACTTACTATCATTGGTTTTAGAAGGACAATCCCTCGTGTGAAGTGAATCTTTCTTTACTAGAGGAAAGGGTTTGGCTTCAGGAAACCTGGTTCTACTACTCATAAGCTCTATGACTTCAGGAAGGTTTAGCAGGGTGGGACCCCCTTGAGCACAGGAGGGTGTCTTATTCCTTTTGTATTCTATCACCAAGCATAGCTTGGCATATGGAAGAAAGGACATAACAATCAGAGCTGGTAACCAAGGTTTCCTGATCTGTTCCTGTGCTCTGAGTGCCAGCTGACACTTTATACAGAAAAGTCTCATTGAATTTTAAAAGATATTTTTTGTTTTGTTTTGTTTTGCTGAGATGAGGTCTCACTCTGTTGCCCAGGCTGGAGAGCAGTGGCATGATCACAGCTCACTGCAGCCTCAACCTCCTGGGCTCAAGCAATCCTCCTGCCTCAGTCTCCCGAGTAGCTGAGACTACAGGTGTGCACCACCATACCTGGCTAATTTTTTTTACTTACATTTTGTAGAGACAGGGTCTCACTATGTTGCCAGTCTGGTCTCGAACTCCTGGCCTCAAGTGATCTTCTCATCTCAGTCTCCCAAAGTGCTGAGATTACAGGCATGAGCCACCATGTCTGGCCCTAAAATGTTTTAAATGATAAAGTAAAATATATACCTACAACTCAATTACAAAAAATTAATTAAAAATACAAAAGAACACCTGTGTAACTACTACTCAGTCAAGTAAAAAGAATCTTGCCAGCATTCCAGAAGCCACCTGTGTCCCTTCCTGATAACTGCACTTCCCCAGGTGATAATTATTTCCTTTTTCCCCTAGTTTTGCCACCTTTGTTTGCAATCCTAACCACTACAGTTCAGCTTTGCCCAGAGTTTCATACAGCTTCTAAAATGGTGGCAACCAGGGTTTTAACTCTGGCATGTCTGGTTTCAAAACATATCGTTCTTCAATCACAGGAAACAGAAGAAGGTTGTGATGGTCCAGGTGAGATGATATGAGGACTGAGACCTGCAGCTTCAGGCAGAATGAGAAGACAGGGGTCAATGAGAGAAATACTGAAGAGGAAATTAACAGAACACTGAGACTGACTAGATGTGAGGGAGTGTGGGGGGACAGAGGGGTAGAAGGGACATCCAACCCCTCGGATCTGGCTTGGGTTTTGGGTAGACAGAAGGCTCAAGAAGAAGTTGAGTTTTAAGGGAAAGAAGAAGAGAGTTTGGTTTCAGGTATGCTGAGTGCCTGTGGAGCATCCAAGTACAAAATCCAGTTGTGAGTTGGATTAAACAAGTCTAGATATGAGTCTGGAGATGGAGGGACAGTGAAGAGAGAAAAACAGGTGCAGGTGAAGGCCTGCCTGGCTTCACTCCCTCCTGTGAGCACTCCATGCACTTGGTCCATCCCTGCTCATAAAAGCTGCTCATAAACACTTTTCTTTTTCTTTTCTTTTCTTTTTTTTTTTTTTTTGAGACAGAGTCTCACTCTGTTGCCCAGGTTGCCAGGTTGGAGTACAGTAGCATGATCTTGACTCACTGCAACCTCTGCCTCCTGGGCTCAAGTGATTCTCCTGCTTCAGCCACCCAAGTAGCTGGGAAAACAGGCGCCCAACACAATGCCCGGCTAGGTTTTATATTTTGAGTAGAGACAGGTCCTCCTGTGGGGACCTCTGTGAAGGGCATCTATGCATGTTCACAATGGCTGGCTTGCTGATGAGTCAGATGTGAGTTTGTTTTCCTCTTGCTACCTACGTCTACATGTAGCATATATGCTAATCCGACTTCAGTGAGGCTGTTTGACTGGCTAGGGTTTTCTCACTCTCAGTTGTTAGGGACAATCTGGCCCCTTTCCTAAATTTAAGAATCTCCTCTGCCTTGGCTGGGTGCGGTGGCTCATTCCTGTAATCCCAGCACTTTGGGAGGCCAAGGTGGGTGGATCACGAGGTCAGGAGATCAAGACCATCCTGGCTAACACGGTGAAACCCCGTCTCTGCTAAAAATACAAAAACAAAAAAATTAGCCGGGCATGGTGGTGGGCACCCGTAGTCCCAGCTACTCGGGAGGCTGAGGCAGGAGAATGGCGTGAACCCAGGAGGCGGAGGCTGCAGTGAGCTGAGATTGCGCCACTGCACTCCAGCCTGGGTGACAGAGTGAGACTCTGTCTCAAAAAAAAAAAAAAAAAAAAAAAAAAAAAGGGTGGTATCTTATTCTTTCTGTATTCTACCACCAAGCACAGCCGGGCATATGGAAGGTTCCCTATGACTGCTCATTCAGTTTACAGATACAATCTGGGAGCTAGGTGTTGGGAGGCAACAGAGGTAAACAGGTCATTGTTCCTACCTTCACAGAGCCTCATAGACTACAAGGTGTTAGATCAACCCAATTCATTTTTATTGCATGCTATGGACCAGGTATGCATTATGAGTGAATGAGGTCTGGTTCCCTCTTTATGCTGATTTCTTTTCTTTCTTTCTTTTTTTTTTTTTTGAGACAAGAGTCTCGCTCTGTTGCCCAGGCTGGAGTGCAGTGGCGCAATCTCAGCTCACTGCCAGCTCTGCCTCCCGGGTTCACATCATTCTCTTGCCTCAGCCTCCCGAGTAGCTGGGACTACAGGCGCCCGCCACCACGCCCAGCTAATTTTTTGTATTTTTAGTAGAGACGGGGTTTCACTGTGTTAGCCAGGATGGTCTGATCTCCTGACCTCGTGATCCACCTGCCTCGGCCTCCCAAAGTGCTGGGATTATAGGCGTGAGCCACCATGCCCGGCCTTTTTTTTTTTTTTTTTTTGAGACAGGGTCTTGCTGTGTTGCCCAGGTTGGAGTGCAGTGGTAGGATCACAGCTCACTGCAGACTCGATCTCCGAGGCCCAAGTGATCCTCCCATCTCAGCCTCCTGAGTACCTAGATCTATAGGTGCGTGCCATCACGCCTCGCTAATTTTTTTTTTATTATTTTTAGAGAGGAGGTCTCACCATGTTGCCCAGGCTGATCTCAAACTCCTGGCCTCAAGTGGCCCCTCCCACCTAGGTCTCCCAAAGTGTTGGGATTACAGGTGTGAACGATGACTGTAGGACTTCTCCACGTTTTAACAGTCCCACTTTCTCTGCTATTTTGGAAATTAGCAGAAAAGTTGGCCACGTCAGTCATGAATTTTAAAGAGTTGGTTCATGCGTCCTCTGAGCTCTATCTTTTCAGTTCAAGAGGCACCACCTTTAATCCAGGCCTTGACACATGTTGCCTCAGGCTGGATGACTTTTCCCACCCCGCAGGCCTTGGTTTTAAAGGTCACCTCCCTTCTGAGGTCCTCCCTGAACCTTCCCCTACTCATTCTCTATAAGGCACTCTATTTGTTTCTGTTATACACGCATTCACTAAACATATTTACTATGTGCCAGGCACTGTTCTCAGTGCTGGGGATATAGCAGTGAAGAAACAGAAACCCTTGCACTCACTGAGCTCATATCTTAGGGTGAGAAACAGTTATTAAGCAAGATCAGGATGGAAAACAGATGGTACGGTAGTGTGAAATGCTAAAGAGAAAAATAACTACGGAAAAGGGATAGGAAGTGTGTGTATCGCAGTTGACTTATTTGTTCGCGTTGTTTACCTGCGTTCTGTCTGCATCTCCCACTAAACTGTAAGCTCTACATCTCCCATCTGTCTTATTTACCAATGCCAACCGGGGCTCAGCGCAGCGCCTGACACACAGCAGGCAGCTGACAGACAGGTGTTGAGCAAGGAGCAAAGGCGCATCTTCATTGCTCTGTCCTTGCTTCTAGGAGGCGAATTGGGAAATCCAGAGGGAAAGGAAAAGCGAGGAAAGTGGCTCGCTTTTGGCGCTGGGGAAGAGGTGTACAGTGAGCAGTCACGCTCAGAGCTGGCTTGGGGGACACTCTCACGCTCAGGAGAGGGACAGAGCGACAGAGGCGCTCGCAGCAGCGCGCTGTACAGGTGCAACAGCTTAGGCATTTCTATCCCTATTTTTACAGCGAGGGACACTGGGCCTCAGAAAGGGAAGTGCCTTCCCAAGCTCCAACTGCTCATAAGCAGTCAACCTTGTCTAAGTCCAGGTCTGAAGTCCTGGAGCGATTCTCCACCCACCACGACCACTCACCTACTCGCCTGCGCTTCACCTCACGTGAGGATTTTCCAGGTTCCTCCCAGTCTCTGGGTAGGCGGGGAGCGCTTAGCAGGTATCACCTATAAGAAAATGAGAATGGGTTGGGGGCCGGTGCAAGACAAGAATATCCTGACTGTGATTGGTTGAATTGGCTGCCATTCCCAAAACGAGCTTTGGCGCCCGGTCTCATTCGTTCCCAGCAGGCCCTGCGCGCGGCAACATGGCGGGGTCCAGGTGGAGGTCTTGAGGCTATCAGATCGGTATGGCATTGGCGTCCGGGCCCGCAAGGCGGGCGCTAGCTGGCTCCGGGCAGCTCGGCCTTGGGGGCTTCGGGGCCCCGAGACGCGGGGCGTATGAGTGGGGCGTGCGCTCCACGCGGAAGTCGGAGCCTCCTCCCCTGGATAGGGTGTACGAGATCCCTGGACTGGAGCCCATCACCTTTGCGGGGAAGATGCACTTCGTGCCCTGGCTGGCGCGGCCGATCTTTCCGCCCTGGGACCGCGGCTACAAGGACCCAAGGTTCTACCGCTCGCCCCCTCTTCACGAGCATCCGCTGTACAAAGACCAGGCCTGCTATATCTTTCACCACCGTTGCCGCCTTCTCGAGGGTGAGGCCCCAGGACGGGCGGCAAGGGACCGTGTTCCTCTAACCAGCACCGACCCCGACCCTCTGTGGCTTTGGGCAAGACATTGAAACTCTGTGGGTCTTGGTTTCTTCGTCTGCGAAATGGGGCCGTAGTGATTCCCGTCTTCTGAGGGTTGTTAGAATTGAGTTGTAAGGAGCTGGGCCTCTGTGCAGGAGTAATAGAGAGTTTGCGTGTCAGCATGAAAAGAGCTGCTTTCTAGGCCTAGCCCTGGCTCTCTCTCTTTGACTTTGGGCAAATGGCTGGCCATCCTGGGCCTCTATTTCCTGGGAAGTGAATGGTTTTGACTGGACAGTCCACATTGACCTTTCCAGGTCTGACATTCTGGAGATTAACTGTATATTTTAAAAGTAGTTGGAGAGAGTTTATAGTGGAGACAGCAGGATGTTTAATCTCCAGGCCTGTCACCTCTTAAGCCCATGACTACTCCTCTGTCACTCTCACTAGGGACAGATCAAAATGACTTTGCCAAAACCAGCCTGTCTATCTAGAACAGTACCAGAAATTATTTTCCAGAGTCCATGGAGAAGCTTGTTTATCCCTTTCTCCATTCTTCCATCTTCCTCAAATCAGGATAGGGATGGGGCAGGTCTTGAAAACAGAATGGTTGAGGTAAGTGGAAACAGTATTTTCCAAGGAGTGATTAGGGGGGAAAAAAAAGGCAAATCTGGCAAGATTGGGGGACTAAGCCAGAGAATAAATCCTAGGTTTGAGAAAACTTAAGTCAATTGGCCAGCCTCTTAAGCTTCTCAATTCCATTCCTGAAAGCTGATTTTCAAGCCTTTAAACACTTCCAGTGTCCTTACAAGGTAGTGGGAAGGATCTCACAAGACTTGGCATCCTTGAGTGACCCTGGTAACAATACCAAGTGGATGAATGCATTAGCAGTATTTTAGACGTTAAGATTACATTCGTTTGCCTAGGCTGAAAATGTATTGTGTATCCTATGTTTTTGCTGCTCACAGAGAGGTTCTGTAGGCTGTAATAAAACTCTGCAGGATACAGGGCTAGAGAAGCCATTTGGGGTAATGGAGAGAGGTGATGTTCTTTAGGGTAGACATACTCAGATTCTCCTCCTAGCCTTGTCACTTACAAAGTATGTGAGTTGGAGCAAATTCCTTAGTCTCTGAGTTTCATTTTTCATTTTATGAAATCCCATCTAACTTGCAGGTAAAGCTCCTGGCACAGGGTAGATGGTGACTTTCAGTAAATGGCAGCTCTAATTATCACCTATTTTTCATATGCAAATAGAACATAAAGTCTTAATATTTTATCTATTGTCAAGTTTAAGGAACAGTGGCGGTGTCAGAGCTAAAACTTAGTTTATCTGACTCCCAGTCCAGGGCTCTTTCTGCTGCACCACAAAATCCAGAAGTTACTTTTTTTTTTTTTTTTGAGACAGCATCTTGCTGTGTTGCCCAGGCCAGAGTACAGTGGCATGATCGTGCCTCACTGCAGCCTTGACCACCAAAGTTCAAGTGATCTCCCACCTCAGCTTCCTGAGTAGCTGGGACCACAGGCGCATGCCACCACTCCCGGCTAGTTTTTTAATTATTTGTGAAGAGGAGGTCTCACCATGTTGCGCAGGCTGGTCTCAAAATCTGGGACTCAAGTGATCCTCCTGCCTCGGCCTCCCAAAGTGCTGGGATTATAGGTGTGAGCCACTGCCCCTGCCCAAAAGTTACATTTCTAAACATTTATATTCATATTCCTGGTGTGATGTCTTATGGATCTTAAAGTGAAAAGTCTTATTGTACTTAGTGCCTTTCATTTGTTACCACAAGAGAAATTGCCTGAGGGTGTCTCCCCCAAAGTATCTTAAGCTCCCTTCCATCCGAGACATGGTCTCTTTCCTTCCTTCCTTTCTCTCTGTCTCTCTCTCTCTCTTTTTTTTTCTTTCGACAGAATCTTGCTCTGACACTCAGGCTGGAGTGCAGTGGCACAATCTCACTGCAACCTCTACCTCCCAGGCCTAATCTATCCTTCCACCTAAGCCTCCTAAGTAGCTGGGATTACAGGCACATGCTGTCATGCCTGGCTAATTTTTTGTATTTCTTTTGTAGAGATGGGGTTACACCACATTGGCCAGGCTGGTCTCAAAGCAATCTACCTACTTCAGCCTCCCAGAGTGCTGAGGTTATAGGTATGAGCCACTGTGTCTGGCCCAGACACAATTTTCAAATGAAGATATGACCTTGAGTCAGAGAAGTGTTCTTCCAGCTGAGATGGGTGGTCTGCCAACCAAGGCAGCCAGCAGCCTTCTGTTAATTTTTGGGCATGATCATTGAGAAGAATATAGTATTGACTTTTCATTTGAAAATAGAGGACTGGTGTGTTTACTTGATCCAGAACTTAGATACCTAGGTCTATGCATGTTCCTCCCTTAGAGAAGCCAAATTTGGGGAAAGTGAAGCTAGGGAGGTCTTTGCCTGGCACCACAGCCCATCCCACTGAGAGTAGCTAAGTTTCTTTAATGTTTAAAGACTATCAGGCTAAACTGAATCTATTTTAGTTTGCATATACACCATCTTTTATTTATTTATTTATTTTAGAGACAGGGTCTCTGTCACCCAGGCTGCAGTGCAATGGTGTGATCACAGCTCACTGCAGCCTTGACCTCCTGGGCTCAAGTCATCCTCCCACCTCCTGAGTTACTGGGATTATAGGCATGAGCCACTGGGCCTGGCTACGTATACGCCATCTTTTCTTGCAAAGTATTTTGGGCAGCTTATTTATAACACAACCAGATTAAATTAAAAAACAGGCGAGGGGATCAGTACAAAGGAAAAATAAAACAGATAATACAACAAAAATTCATGATGTGAGGTTCTACTTCATTTACTTTTTTTTTTTTTTTTTTTTTTTTGAGGTGGAGTCTTGCTCTGTTGCCCTAGCTGGAGTGCAGTGGCGTGATCTTGGCTTACTGTAGCCTCTGCCTCCCAGGTTCAAGTGATTCTCCTGCCTCAGCCTCCCAGGTAGCTGGGACTTCGGGCAAGCACCACCACACCCAGCTAATTTTTTTGTATTTTTAGTAGAGACGGGGTTTTACCATGTTGGCCAGGCTGGTCTCAAACTCCTGACCTCAAGTGATCTGCCCACCTCAGCCTCCCAAAGTGCTGGGATTACAGGCATGAGCCACCATGCCCGGCCTAAGGTTCTGCATTCTAAAGGGAAGCCCCAAACCTGGCCCTGAGCTTGCTAGCAATCAACAAATGGTACATAGCTAGGGTCAGCTAACTAGGTCAGCTGCTTGTTTTTATAAATGAAGTTTTATTGGAACAAAACCATGCACACTTGTTAATTATTGCCTATTGCTGCTTTTGTGCTCTAGCAGAGTTGAGTAGTTGTGAGAGAGACTGTGACCCAGAAGCTGAAAATATTTACTATTTGGCCCTTTGAGAAAATGTTTGTTGACCTCTGGTATACAGAAAAATATTTTCAGTTACACAATTTACCATGTCTATAAGACAAAACAAGCCAGGCACAGTGGCTAATGCCTATAATCCCAGCACTTTGGGAGGCCTAGGCAGGCAGATTACTTCAGGTCAGGAGTTCGAGACCAGCGTGGACAACATGGTGAAACCCTGTCTCTACTAAAAATACAAAAATTAGTTGGGTGCTGTGGTTTATGCTTGTAATCCAGCTACTTGAGAAGCTGAGGCAGGAGAATCGCTTGAACCTGGGAAGCGGAGGTTGTGGTGAGCCGAGATCATGCTGCTCAGTCATCATGTCGCCCAGTCAGCCTGGGCGACAGAGCGAGACTTTGTCTCAAAAAAAAAAAAAGACAAAACAGTTCTGTATCCAGGAAAAGCCCAACCTTTCTATACTAAGGCCAGAGAGGTTCAGCTCCTTAAAATATTCATGAAAATCCGAAAGTTATTCCCAGTTATTTCCAAAGGTTCCTTTCCCTTGAGAAGGCAGCATGGGCTTATGCCTAGACCCACACCTAATAATAATGAGGTATATTTGGTAGACATAGACTATATTTGGTAGTTAGGGCTGGGGTGTGGGTTATTAGAAAGGATCTTAAATGAAAGGTTGGCATCCATCAATTTAGTACCATAGCCTAGGGTCTATCCCCTGCTTGCAGCATTCAGCCATATTATCTCAGAGGTCTTAGCCACTGTGTGAATTCCTCTAGTGGCAGGCGCTCACCACCTCAGTCACCTATTAACCATCCTGAAGTAGGTGGTCATTCCTGAAGGTGAGTTGAAATCTGACTTTCTTAGCTTCTGGTCTTCACTTTTGGTTCTATCCCCTCAGGTGTCACAGAACAAATCCAGTTTCTCACTTGAGGCAGCCTTTTTACTAAGATGCTACCTGGCAGGTGTAAGCATCTCTTCCTGAATCTTTTTCTTTCCTTCTTTATTTTTGTGGCTAATTACCTCAAAGGTGTAAAGCAGGCCCTCTGGCTCACCAAGACCAAGTTAATAGAAGGCCTTCCCGAGAAAGTGCTTAGCCTTGTTGATGATCCAAGGAACCACATAGAGAACCAAGACGAGTGCGTTCTGAATGTGATCTCTCACGCCCGTCTCTGGCAGACCACTGAGGAAATCCCCAAGAGAGAGACCTACTGGTAAGTTCCCCCAAGTAAAGAAGATTTCCTACTAATGGATCTTCGAGTCGACCTGTTGCTTTAAGTCCCCAAATGTCTCTTTTTGTCTTCAAGCCCGGTCATCGTGGACAACCTAATACAGCTGTGTAAATCTCAGATTCTCAAGCATCCTTCTCTGGCCAGGAGGATCTGTGTCCAAAACTCCACGTTTTCTGCTACCTGGAACCGAGGTTGGTCATCTTGTACACCAGAAAGCCTTGGTCTGTTTTTTTTGCCTTTCTACTCTTAACCCCACCACCAGCTCCCATCCCCCTGCCCCCAAATACCGATCCTTACTCCCATCATTCGTGGTCTCGTTTTGTAGGCTCAGACACACCCTCAGTATCATTAGCCATAGCCCAACCATTTTTGTTTTTAATCACTTTCTAAGACGTTAATTCAACCATTAACAGTCAGCCATATCTATTGAGTGCTTAGGATGTGCTTGGGAAGTGCCTAAATGTTGAAGGTAAGGAAATTTATAATAAAGCACATGTAGCCTCCGCCCTCACAATGCTCATATTCTATTGCAATAGTCTTCTTACCTCACTTACACCTCTCTCGTCTTCCAAATCCATTTTCATCATGGCCTGCTAGAGTGATCTTTCTAAAGTGCAAGTCTTTATGTCCCTGCCCTGTTTCAGATCCTTCACTGTCTCCTAGTAGTGTAAACCATTTATTGTGGGTTACCAGCCCTCATGATTTGGTCGCCACTTAGTCTTTCTAGTCTTATCTCCTGCTTTACTGCCCCCCACCCCATCCCTAAATTAGCCACTTTCAGCTTTTTAGCATCAAGCTTTCACACCATGTGCCTTTGCACATGCTGTGCATTCTGTCTGGAATACTCTTTTTTGTTTGATTTTTATTTTTGTTTATTTATTTATTTATTTATTTTATTTATTTATTTTTTTGAGACGGAGTCTCGCTCTGTCACCCAGGCTGGAGTGCAGTGGGGCAATCTCAGCTTACTGCAAGCTCCACCTCCCGGGTTCACGCCATTCTTCTGCCTCAGCCTCCCGAGTAGCTGGGACTACAGGCGCCCGCCACCACGCCCAGCTAATTTTTTGTATTTTTAGTAGAGACAAGGTTTCACCATGTTAGCCAGGATGGTCTCGATCTCCTGACCTCCTGATCCGCCTGCCTCGGCCTCCCAAAGTGCTGGGATTACAGGTGTGAGCCACAACGCCCGGCCTGTTTGTTTATTTTTTGAGACAGAGTCTTGCTGTGTCGCCCAGGCTGGAGTACAGTGGTGCAATCTCAGCTCACTGCAACCTCTGCCTCCCGGGTTCAAGCAATTCTTGTGCCTCAGCCTCCTGAGTAACTGGGGTTATGGGCATATGCCACCACACCCAGCTAATTTTTGTATTTTTATTGGAGATGGGGTTTCACCATGTTGGCCAGGCTGGTCTCGAACTCCTGGCCTCAAGTGATCTGCCCATCTTGACCTCCTAAAGTGCTGGGATTACAGACATGAGCCACTGTTCCCGGCCTAGAATACTCTTTTCTGCTTTCTTTTCTTTTCTTTTTTTTTTTTTTCCAGATGGAGTTTTGCTCTTGTTGCCTGGGCTGGAGTGCAGTGGCGTCAGCTCACTGCAACCTCCGCATCCTGGGTTCAAGTGATTCTCCTGTCTCAGCCTCTCAAGTAGCTGGGATTACAGGTACCCGCCACCATGCCCAGCTAATTTTTGTGTGTGTGTGTGTGTGTGTATTTTTAGTAGAGACGGGGTTTCACTATTTTGGCCGGGCTGGTCTTGAACTCCTGACCTCAGGCAATCCACCCGCCTTGGCCTTCCAAACTGCGGGAATACAGGCGTGAGCCACCGTGCTTGGCCCGCTGCTTTCTTCATTTAACCAAATTCTCCTTATCTGCAAGACTTCACTCAAGCCCCCCTTCTCTGTGAATCCAGGCTGGGGTATCTTTTCCTCCTCTGTGTTCTTTATGCCCATTCTGCCATCATAGCACAGATTACACTGTATTGTCAGTATCTACTGTCGGTTCTGTCTACCCCACTCAACTGAACTCCTAATGGCTGGGACCATATCTTACTCACATTGTCCACAGTGTCTAACAGTTCATGGTACACAGTAGGTGCTGACTGAAGGGATGTGTAAATGCATATACCTACTGTTGGTGTTTCAGGCAGGGATGTTCAGAGAACACAGGTGTTCTAACTGGTGGAATCCTGGAGCAGGAAAACCAGCTACGGAATGATCTGGGATTTCAGGACATCTGCTTGGTCAGGATTTGTGTATAGACTTCCTGGCAATGAGTCAGCTTTGCAGAGGTAATGACACCACTAAGGAAATTAGTGAACCTCATTAATAGAGGAGTACTTGGCCCATCATCAAGTATTACCTCTAATTAAACTACCCCATTTGGAGCTGTCACTGGAGGAGGGATATGGAGGGAATTGAATCAGAAACCACACAAGAGTGGTCTGTGGGGAGAATGGAAAACCCAAGGTTAAGAGAGGTCCATGCACATTTATTTTTCTTGCAGATTATATGTGAGGAAACAGGAAATACTTTAGAAAACTATTCTTGAGGTGTGACAGATCAGAGTTTATCCACCCCCAGATGTAGTATCCCTTTCTTACCTATCCAGTAAGGGAGGCCACATGCTAATTAATGACAGTGCTGTTGACCAAACCAATTCTTAGACATACAAGAAAACCGGCCTTGATCCATTACCATCACACTGTGGCTATTTCTGAAAACCCAAGCACCTTCTGAGAAAGATTTGCCTCCGTGGATACTCCTCAGGAGGCCATTCTCAAGGTGTTTTTCCAGGCACATTTTGTCTGGTGGTAGCATGTGACCTCCTGTGGGGACCTCTGTGAAGGGCATCTATGCATGTTCACAATGGCTGGCTTGCTGATGAGTCAGATGTGAGTTTGTTTTCCTCTTGTCACCTACGTCTGCATGTAGCATATATGCTAATCCGACTTCAGTGAGGCTGTTTGACTGGCTAGGGTTTTCTCACTCTCAGTTGTTAAGGACAATCTGGCCCCTTTCCTAAGTTTAAGAATCTCCTCTGCCTTGGCTGGGTGCGGTGGCTCATTCCTGTAATCCCAGCACTTTGGGAGGCCAAGGTGGGTGGATCATGAGGTCAGGAGATCAAGACCATCCTGGCTATCACGGTGAAACCCGGTCTCTACTAAAAATACAAAAACAAAAAAATTAGCCGGGCATGGTGATGGGCACCCATAGTCCCAGCTACTCGGGAGGCTGAGGCGGGAGAATGGCGTGAACCCGGAAGGCGGAGCTTGCAGTGAGCTGAGATTGCGCCACTGCACTCCAGCCTGGGCGACAGAGCAAGACTCCGTCTCAAAAAAAAAAAAAAAAAAAAAGAATCTCCTCTCTAACTCTAGTCTCAGTGCTCCTCTCTCTCTCCATCACTTCTTCCCTGCTGTATCCTACTCTAGTCACCTGGATTTCTCTCCTTAAATTCTGCCACGGAGTTGCCTGCACCTGACTTTTGCACATTATTCCTCCTTAACTAGAGTGCTTTTCCCCCTTTCTTTGCCTGGCAAGCTCTTACCCAGTGGTTTTCAACTAGGGACAGTTTTTCCCTCTGGAGAACATTTGGCAGTGTGTGGAGACATCTTTGACATGATGTGGATGGGGTGTGGGGAGTTGGGATGGGGAGGGAGTTAAAATGGCATCTAGTAAGTAGAAGCCAGGATGCTGCTAAACATCCCACAGTACACAGGACATTCCCTCCCCCCACTCCGCCAAAGAGTTATCTGATCCAAATGTGAATAGTGCTGCAGTTGAGAATCTCTGCTCTTATCCATCCTTCCAGATGTCATTTTAAGGCATTGCTTCTTTCAGGGAACTTCCCATTCCCAGAGAAGTTCAGTTTTCCCCACCTGTACAATTTTTGAATATGTTTCATCCTTTTCACTGTAGCACTCACTACCTGGTGGGCTCCTTGAGAGGAGAGAGTAACTCTCACACATCTCTGGTTCCCCAGGTTACAGCAGGTGCTCAGGAAGATCTGGATGGGGCAGGCTTCGCTCCCCAGAGACCATCAGCCCTCAGGGTTTACTAGGAAGGGAACACAGGAAGAAGAGTGCATTGGTTCATCCCCTCTTAGGGATCCCAGGATTAACATCCTAACTCAAAGTTTTGTGTTCTGTGATTAGGCTGATCAAGAAATGCTATAAATGACTTGAGGCACATGGGAGGATGAAGGCTTTAGACTTTGCAGGATTGAGAAAGTCTTTAATTTTTTTTTTTTTTTTTTTTAAGTTTTTTGAGACAGTTTCACTCTGTCACCCAGGCTGGAGTGCAGTGCCGTCATCTCAGCTCACTGCAAGCTCCGCCTCCCAGGTTCATGCCATTCTCCCGCCTCAGCCTCCCGAGTAGCTGGGACTACAGGTGCCAGCCACCATGCCCGGCTAATTTTTTGTGTTTTTAGTAGAGACTGGGTTTCACCGCGTTAGCCAGGATGGTCTTGATATCCTGACCTCGTGATCCACCCGCCTCAGCCTCCCAAAGTGCTGGGATTACAGGCGTGAGCCTACCATGCCTGGCCAATTTTTTGTATTTTTTAGTAGAGATGGGGCTTTGTCATGTTGCCCAGGCTGACCTAGAACTCCTGGCTTCCAATGATCCACCTGCCTTGGCCTCCCAAAGTGCTGGGATTATAGGCATGAGCTACTGCGCCTAGCTGCGAAAGCCTTTAGTACCAGGTTAGAGTAACCATTTTTCTCCCTTTTAGAGTCTCTTCTCCTTCAAGTCCGTGGTTCTGGTGGAGCCCGACTGAGCACTAAGGATCCTCTGCCCACCATCGCCTCCAGAGAGGAGATTGAAGCTACTAAGAATCATGTTCTAGAGACCTTCTACCCCATATCACCCATCATCGATCTTCATGAATGCAATATTTATGATGTGAAAAATGACACAGGTAAGGATCAATGTCTTGGACTTTTAGGCAGTGTGGAGGAGAAGGACATGCTTTTTCTGGAGGGAAAGGATATACTAAGAACTTGCTAGGTGCTAGGCACCTCGTGTGTATTACCTATCTCCTAGGATCCATGTGGCAGCCCCATGAGACAAGTACTATTATCTCCATTTCATAGGCAAAGAAACTGCAGCTCAGGGAAGTTAAGTGATTTGCTCAAAGACTAACTTTACTTTTTACCTTGGAGAAGTAACTCTATTACATCAGAGTGGCTTGAGGGACTTTTTTTTTTCTTCAGCAAACTGTATCATTGGGCGTTTGAGGGGCTTTTCACCAAGGCTTTTTCTTTATTCATAGGTCCCATGAAAGGCACCCATTTTCTGTTTACCTTGTAAACTCTGGCCAACCCCCTTTAGGAACTGAGGAAGCCCCATAGACATTGAATGGGGCCATTAATCCAAACTCCATCAAGCAAGGGACCACCATGTACTCCGTCAGGCAAGACATCACAAGGGAGTGAGACTAGGCTGGCCCCCACTTCCTGCCATCCACTGTGTCCTCATGAGCTGTAGCATCTTCCTCATAAACCCCTTCATTGTCATAGCCACAACCTAGGTCAGTCTTTACTGTCCTTACCTAGCCTATTGCCACAGCCTCCCAGCTGGTCTGTCTGACCCCACACTATTTTCTCTCTGGTCCATCTAGTTCATAATTCCAGAGTAGCCTTTCCCCAACACCACTTTCATCCCATCTGTCTTCATGCCCACCTCCCCGTGGCCTGTTGGTAAAGTTGGAACTCCTTTGCTTATCGTGAAAGGGCCTTCACATCTGGTCTCTGCCCCATCCCCAGCCTCATCTTTGCCTCCTCCCCTGCCTGCCCTGTTTCTTGTGACTGTGCTAAATTCATCATGCCCTCTCTCACCTCCATGCCTTGTCACTTCCTCTCCTTCTGCTGAAGCTCTTGGCCATTCTTCCCTTTTGGTCTTCAGCTTGCTAACTTGTCATCTTTCACAGTTCATCTTAGGAATGACTTTCTCTCAGAAATGCTTTGGGATCTTCCAGTCTCATCAGGGTCCTTCCGGCTGTCCTCCCACAGCCCCTGACTTACCTCACATCTTGACATGTCCCTCCATACAGATATGGTCAGTTTTCCTGTCTGTCTCCCCTCTAAACTGTGAGCTCCTCAAAGGCAGTGGCAGGCTCTGCTTGGCCTCCATTCCTGGTACCTGTCTTACAGCTTGGCACAGAGTGAGTTCTAGATATTTACCTGTGCCGAATACCTGAGCAGGCTGAAGGACCAAACATGCAGGAGAGCCATGCCTCCTCTAGGCTTTTCAGAGCCTACATTATTTTCCTAGCCTCTTTTTTTTTTCTTTCCCTGAGACAGGGTCTCTCAGTCTGTCACTCAGGCTGGAGTGAAGTAGCACAATTGTTGCTCACTGCAGCCTTGACCTCCCAGGCTCAAGCAATCCTCCTACCTCAGCCTCCTGAGTAGCCGGGACCACAGGCATGTGCTACCACACCTGGCTAATTTTTGTATTCTTTTTAGAGATAGGGTCTTATTATGTTTTCTAGGCTGGTCTAAAACTCCTGGGCCCAGGCGATCTGCTTGCCTCAGCCTCCCAAAGTGCTGGGATTACCGGCATGAGCCACCATGCCCAGCCTTCCCGACGTCTTTCTTTCTTCTTTTCACCTATATTCAGTGATCCAGATCACTTATTCTAGAAGTTCCCAGCCTACCAAGAGTTACTCGTAGCCATGCGGGAGAAGAGAATCATGACTTGACAAGGTCATGGCTGAAAAGAACAAGTACTAAACTTTGATTCTCAGCACCAGTGTTGTGTGGGTCAGTTGTGAATGATGAGGCAAGTCATTTGTCACTAATATTAAAGTAGTAAATTTTGCAAATGACTTGCTTTCTTTTGAATAATTACCACAGATTTCAAGTTCTCCTTCTCCTAACATCACTGTCATCTGTGTGCCAGAATGAGAGAGAAAGGTGTGGAGTTAGAACTAGCTTGCAGGCAGCACCTATAACAGGTTGGCAGGCATTTTCTGTGAAGAGTCAAAACAGTAAATATTTTAGGTGTTACAGGCCACATATGGTCTCTGTCACAGCTACCCAATAGTCATACGTAAATGAGTGAATGTGGTTGTGCTCCAGAGAAAATGTTATTTACAAAAATAGGTAGCAGGCCAGATTTGGCCAGCAAGCTGAAGTTTGCCAGCCCCCGAGCTATAGTGATAGTATCCACCTTTGTTGAGTCTCTCTGTAGCACCTGTCCCTGGGCTAAGGCGAGGTGACTTTCCTGAGGCTTTGTGGCAGGCTGATGAATCCTTTCCACCCCTCCACATAATTGTGTCTCTTGCAGGATTCCAGGAAGGCTATCCTTACCCCTATCCCCATACCCTGTACTTACTGGACAAAGCCAATTTACGACCACACCGCCTTCAACCAGATCAGCTGCGGGCCAAGATGATCCTGTTTGCTTTTGGCAGTGCCCTGGCTCAGGCCCGGCTCCTCTATGGGGTATGTAGGTGGAGAAGACCACTGAGTTGCTTTACGTGGTGTTGGTCTCCTCCCTTAAGGTTACTGCTCAGAGGAAGAAAAGGGATATAGGGGAACTGATTTCTTGACTGAGGAGTTTTAGGGAGGAGTACTTCAGCCCACCCTGTGGAGATGAGCCAACATCACTAGGGGGTGACTGCCTGTGCTTCACCTAAGTAGCTCACTTGATCACAGTAGCCCACATGTTTTTACTGAAGTCCCCACTTTCTAAGCTATGCCATAGAATTACAGGGAGGCCATGCAGCTTATCAGCATTACACAGCACTAAGTGGTGGAGATAGGACTGCAGCTAGGTCTGCCCCACTCTGAAGTCTTCAGTTGTTTGTGCTGCAGCATGCTGCCTCTGTTCTTGTAGTGGCAGAAGTGGAGCACAGGCAGGAGGAAGTGGAGCAATAGAGATGGCCAAGCCCTGCCTGCCAACTCAGGATGGGTGCTGGGGACCCAAGATACTCGTTGGTGTTATCCCCTGATCCTAAGAGGAGGTTTCAGGGACCTAGATGGTATAGAATACAAACTAACTTGTCACAGAGAGCTGTCCCAAGATGGGGAAAGCCTGGCTCTGGGAGCAAAGGCCTCCAGGGAGGGGAGGGCTATATGGGAGCCCTCAAGCAGGCCTGGGACACCAGATCCCTGGTTTGGGGTGTGTTGGGGGGTAGTTCATGAGAGCCACTGCTGGACCCCCAGGTCTTGGTTAGAGCCTGAGTCTTTTCTAGAGGAGGAATGAGGAAAAGTACTGTTTCCCATCTTATTTGGCCTAGGGGGAGTTGGAGAGCCATGGTTAGCCAAATGGATAGGGAGTGGAATGGGCCTTGCCCAGATTGAGCACCTGCTGCATACCACACATTTATTTAGGGTTTTTATTAAAAAAAAAAATCAGTGGTTCGTTCGTAAAATATAGTCTTGGATTAGCAGCAGAAGCATCATCTGGGAACTTGTTGAAAAGGCATACTCTCAGACCTACCCCAGACCTGCTGAATCAGAAACCCTGGGGTTGGGGCCCAGCGATCAGCGTTTTAACAAGCCCCCCAGTTATGCTGCTACAAGCTCGAGTTTAAAAACCACTGAACTGGCCGGGTGCGGTGGCTCACGCCTGTAATCCCAGCACTTTGGGAAGCCGAGGTAGGAGGATCACTTGAGGCCAGGAGTTCGAGACCAGCCTGGCCAACATGGCAAAACCCCATCTCTACTAAAAACACAAAGATTAGCTGGGTGTGATGGTGCATACCTGTAATCCCAGCACTTTGGGAGGCCAAGGTGGGAGGATTACTTGAGGCCAGGAGTTCGAGACCAGCCTGGCCAACATGGCGAAACCCCATCTCTACTAAAAATACAAAGATTAGCTGGGTGTGGTGGCATGCACGTGTAATCCCAGCTACTCGGGAGGCTGAGGCATGAATGTTGCTTTAACCCAGGAGGCGGAGGCTGCAGTGAGCTGAAAGATTGCACCACTACACTCCAGCCTGGGTGACAGAGTGAGACTGTGCCTCAAAGGAAAAAAAAGAAAAAAGAAAAGGCAACCACTGAACTGAAATTTCAGAACATGGCATTATTTAATCCTTGTAGTTTTTTAACCCCATGTGGCAGATGCTATTAGCTTCATTTTATAGATGGTGAAACTGAGGCTCAGGGAGGCTAAGGAACTTGCCCAAGGATACACAGCTAAGAAATTAGTAGCTGTCAGATCTTTATGTGACCTTGTGTCTTTCCAATCCTAGGACAATTGTCTTTATTCCCATTCTCTGACTATATACTTCCTGAAGGCTCCGAAAGATTAGGTAACTTGTCCAAGATCCCACAGCTAATGAGTGGGGAAGCAAAGCTTGGAACATGATCTCTCCAGTTTTGAAGGATGTGCTACTCCCAACTCAGGCAGGAGAAGGAGGCAGAGATAGTCACAACCCTGGTCCCAGGCCTGCAGACTCGCTGTAGCCTCTGTGCCAGCTATTGCCATCAGAGTCTGGGTAGCAACGATACAACTAATTACCACCCAGTTGGGTAGGAGTGGAGGCCTCCTTCAGCCCCTCCAGGCACAAATTATTCCTGGGGATGTGAAGTTGAGCAATTATGGGAAGAGCCTCCATGTAAAAGGTAAAATTGCTGAGAAATTTATGTACTACCTGCAGTTTTATTGATCTGTAGAGGGAGATAAGAGTCAATACAGAATTCTCGGCTAACACTTACAGGTACTTTTCTTTTTATTTATTTTTCATGCAGCTAAGAACAGGTATTTCTAAGGCCAACAGCCCCAGTGTGGCCCACACTGAGGTCTGACATTAGGTATTCCTAATGCCAGATTCAGCCCCAGTGGGGTGAACACAGGCAGCATTTTTGAATCAAGGATGGCCTGCTTCATGGGGCCTGCCTGTTGGATCTTTGTTCAGTGAGTAGCAGTCACCAAACTGGATTGCTGCAAAGTCTCAGCAGGTCACCATATGATTTATCTCCCAAACTGGGACACCATTGAGAATAATGAGGTGCCGCTATTAGATACACTGGGACACCAGGATTAAACCAGAACAACAGGGCTTTCAGTGACTTAATAGCATGGAGTCTGATCCCCATGGGTGACCTGGAGCAAATTATACCACCTCTCTGAACCTCAGTTTCCTTATCTGTTAGTGGGAATATACCTCTAGATTTATGAGAGTAGAGGTGACCTGATGTAAAACTGGCAAGATGCCTGGCACCTGAGAGGCCTTCAGTAAATGATTTTAGGTGTTACTACTATTACCAAGTGGCAGTAACTAGAAGAGATCAGTAGCAGGAGTTGACTGGTGAAATCCTGGCGCTGGCATGGCTGGAGTGGATACTCCAGAAACATGGCCCGTGCTGAGTTGCAGCGTCAGCATGAAGCCCAGTGAATGTGACTGCCAGGCCCTTAGAAGCAAGGCAGGGGCGTGGGGGAAGGGTGTGGTCTGGCATGAGCCTGTTTGGGTTCTACACCACCCATCTTCGTGACTTCCGGCAAGTCACTTTACCTCACTGAGTCTCAGTTTCCTCATCTGTCAAATGGGGTGAGAACTGAATGAGATTATATCTATCCGTTGACCCTCCGGATTCACATTTGATAGCTGATGTCACTGTGGTCCTTATCAAGTAACGCCAGGAGTTTGAGGGATTTCTGTCATTAACCCCCCAGCTGGCCTGCCTGAACTCTGGCTTGCCTGGAAATCGCCTCTCAGTGGCAGGAACTATTACTTTGATGTGCTCAAATAGAAGAGCAGGCACCCTGGGGCCATGAGGCACAGCCAGCCTGGGTGAAGGAAGGCCCGGCCCTGGACAGTGCCCTGAACTCCTCATTCTATTTTAATTGTCCCAAAGAGAAGCCATTCAGTGGACGTAGGTGGACGTTGTAAAGGGAAGAACTAGAAGCTGCCTGGGCCGTGCTGTTCCTTACACTCCACAGCTTCTGATTTGTTTTCCTTGTCCCCTTTTCCTCTCAGAATGATGCCAAGGTCTTGGAGCAGCCCGTGGTGGTGCAGAGCGTGGGCACGGATGGACGTGTCTTCCATTTCCTAGTGTTTCAACTGAATACCACAGACCTGGACTGTAACGAGGGTGTCAAGAATTTGGCCTGGGTGGACTCAGACCAGCTCCTCTATCAGCATTTTTGGTGTCTCCCAGTGATCAAAAAGAGAGTGGTTGTGGTAAGTTGAGCCATCTCCTGCCTGACCCAGGAGGGCCATGCCTCCTCCTACCTGGTGTGAGCCTCAGGTGGGATTGCTGGGGTGCTCTGTGAGGAGAGCCCTGGCCCTGGGGACTTCCCACCCGGGATCTCTGCCTGGAGGACTCCTTCAGTCCCGCCCCTACCTAAGGCCCTGCCCAGTGCTCCACTCCAGCTCCTGCTTCCCTTTGCACCCTCCAGCCAATCCAGCTCCTCGCAGCTCCCAGGGTGCTCTGCGGCTTCATTAGCTCTGGCCTTTGTAGGTGCTGCTCCTTTTGTCTGGGAGGCTTCTTGCCTTCTCCCCTCCCCATTACTGTTTGTCAGGCTATCCTCCACTTGTCCTTCCAGGTTTAGCATAAGTGTTTCTTATTTTGGGAAACTTCTGACCACCACCGTCCCCATCCCAACCCTCACTTAAGTGCCTCAGGTGGGCTGCCCTGGCCTCCGTATTCCCCCATCAGAGCACGATCACATTGCTGTGCGTAGAACCTCTTCACATGTTTTTTTTCCTCCACCAAACAGAACTCCAAGCTCCTAGATCCTTGAGGGCAGGGTCTGGGGATGCATTCGTTTCATCCCACAGATACGGAGTTCCTCCTGCGGCACCATTGTGCTGCACCCCACTGCTCAGCTGACGGGGTCCAGGCCTGCTCTCTGTGTAGTGGGCAGTAGCAGTATCTAAATAAATTCCTGATAGAGCATCAGGCAGTAATATGCACCCTGGAGAGACCTACAGCAGGGTCAGGACTGCGAAAGCGGAGTAGGGGTACTGCCTGCTCTGGGACCAACCAGGCCCCACACAGGCCTGAGTGTGGGCTTGCTAAATGGAGTCGCTGAGCCTTTGAACATTCTCAGCAGGTCCGTTCTTGAACTGGTTCTCCAGCAGCTCTCAGTGCTGTTTCCACCTGAAATGCCTGCTGGGTCTGTGCCCTTTGCTTTGGCCCCAGACACCCTCAGTTCACCTGCATAGTCACACCAGCCACCTCCGTGCTCTCTGCTCTTAGTCAGGTTTTCCCTCCTGACTCTGTGTCTTCAGGTTCTCTTCCCTCAGCCTCTCCCTTCCAGGATACTGACTCAGGGCTGGGCCTGTTGTGGTTTGGAGACAGCTTCTCCTCACCTCTGCAGCCTCATCTCCTGCCGCTCCACCCCTCAGCATTCGCCCTGGGCTCCAGCCCGATCTTGCCCTTCCTGCCTTCATTTCTACTTCTTCTATTGCATGTGCTGGGCTTTCTGAAGTCTCCTTCCTTTTCTTTTTCTTTCTGCCCCATTCTGCTCACCCTTCCATGTATAAATGTCGGCAAGTCAGTCATTTCTTCCTGCTTTCTTCTTTTTCCTACTTCTGCAGTGGGGTCTGTCTCCTTTCATTTTCACTATTTGAACAGCTGACGGTAAGCTCCTTGAGGACAGGAACCAGAGTCAAGTTACTGCTGTGTCTGTTTCCAGCACAGGATATAGGCGCAGCAGAAAGCAAGCAGGTGCCCAATAAATGTGTGTGGAATGGGTGAGGGATGATTGTCCCTGGGATTAGAGAGGGCAGCAGCCCATTTCAACCATCATTCCTGGTGGTGGAAGTGAGAGGGCCTCGGGAGCAGAGCAGCGTCAACAGTTGTTTTGGCTGAAGGGGGCTGGGAATGCTTCCTGTCCTCCCAGGCTACAGCCCCTCAATGCCCCTTCTTAGTCCGAGAGAGAGACGATGTCAGAAAAAGAAAGTTACTGTCCAGGCACTGAAGATTTACTTCAATCCAATCTTTGTTTTAATTGCTGCCGTTAAACCTAGTAGCAGGATCCTAATGAACCGTGTTCTTTCCAGGAACCTGTTGGCCCAGTTGGTTTCAAGCCAGAGACATTCAGAAAGTTTTTAGCTCTATATTTGCATGGTGCTGCGTGAGCGGAGGACCCCTCTGAATCCTGAAACCCCTCTTGCCTCTCTTCCACGGAAGAGGGCCTGGGCCCCGTGGAGCCTCAGTGCCCGTTTGGCCTGCTGCTCTCGCTGACAATAAAGAGCCCTTGCGTTGCACTGAAGCCTGTGTTTGGTATGAGGGTGCCATCGGGAAGGGCGCCCACACAAGTCCAAGCCCTGGAGCCTGACCTGCCCCAGCTGAAGCCCAGCTCTGCCCTTGACCCATGTTGTGATCTTAGATAAGGATCTTCATCTGTCTCTTTCCATTTCTTCATCTGAAACCTGGGGCTAATGTGACTTACCTGGCGTTGAAGACTCTGGGTTATGTGTGTGTAGTGTCTGCCACATGGCAGATACGCTGATGGTCACTAGGTTCTTATGGCATTATTTAAATTGTGGACACATTCCACAATGACTGCAGAAAATCTCGCTAGCATATTTATTGTAGATTTCTCCCTCGTATCCTGGTTAATGGGGCAAGTACACCCCTGGTTCAGCTGGTCTCTGTCCAAATAATGTCAAGTCCTGATCTGTGCCAGACACTGCTGCCATGCCAAGCACCTGATACATAGCATATTTAATCTGCACACACCCCTTACAAGGTAAATGTCATTTCCATATTCAAGAAAAATATTGCATGCCTAGCATGTGCCATGCACTGTTCTGGGCCCTAAGAAGAAAACACGGATAATTTAAGGAATTTGCCCACGGTCACCCACCTGGTGCTATAGGTCAGCTTCCCGAGGAAACACTTAGAGACTTTTATTTGGGGAGAACCTTTAGGACAGGAACCTGTGGAGAGCGAAGGCAGCAGCAGGTGGGGGTGGCGGGCCCAAGCTCAGTGTGGCTGCCTCTGAGGCCTCACCCAGTTCATGGGCACTCTGGAGCCAGAGGCAAGGGAGTTGAGCCTTCTACAAACACCCCTGGCCTGGCACCAGCCATTGGATATGTGCTGCTTCCTGACAGCGGGTGGGACCTTGGGCGAGGTGGCTTTGTTGGTCTGTAATTCCTGCTGAGGGACTGCTGAGAGCAGTTAGTGTGGGAACTTCCAGCAGCTGGAGGAGCTCTCAGCTAGGCAGTGGCAAAGTGGCGTCCAGCCTGTGTCTCTGCCTCCCAGGCTTGGGCTCTTTCCACTTGAAAGCTTACTTTTTAGGCTTGAGGGATTAGCAGGAAAAGCAGCAAGGCACAGAGGACCATGGGGACAGGAAGTGACTGGAAGTGGGGAGGCCGGAGGCTTGGCTGGGGCTGGAGTGGCCAGCTTGGGAGGGGCCTGAACACCAAGCACCTCACCTCCTAGGGCAGCTGACCTGGGGCTCCGGGTACTCTGAGCCCTGCTGCCCATTTTACTTTTTATTTTACAGACAGGAAACAATTATACATAAATGATAAAAGTTCAGAGTTCAGGGAAAGATAAGTCGACCCACCCAAGGTGATCCCTAGCTAGTCCTTTTCTCTAAGGTTAACAGAGCTTCAAGTTTCTTCCATGCTGTTGGTGAAAATGTGTATGTATCATAACAACACACATATATACATGACTGAAGAGTCATCCTATTTACAGCCTGTTCTGCACTTCCTTTTTCACCTGATGTCTCTGGATTGTAGGCTCTTGCCACATCACCACATAGGATCTCTTCGTTCTTTTGAGCAGCCACATTAGTATCTGTTGATGGCAGTCCGGGTTGTTTCCAGTTGTTATTAGAAATAATGCTGCAGTGAGCACCCTCGTTCATGTATCTTAGAGTAGTTTTGCCAGCAGAGCCATTGGGTAAGTTCCTAGCAGTGGAATTGCTGAGTCAAACGTTTTTTTTTTTAAACAACACTCTGTTGGGAGTACAGAGGAGGAGCTGGTGGGATGGCGGTAGGGAGTCCAGCTGGAGGCCACTGCGGGGATCCTGGGGCAAGTGGTGGTGATGGCTTGGCGTGATCCTGAGCAGGCTGAAGCCCCTGGAGACTGCTTGGAGAGGAGGGAGGGTGAGGTGAACTTGAGCCCTGAGCGAGTGGGACGGAGGCTCTGAGTAAGCGGACCATCAGCAGATGACCTTGTAGCTTGAGGACTGCCTGGAAGGGGGCCAGGGTTGCCGGGCAGGCCTGGGCAGCCTGTCCTCCCAACCCACCCTGAATGAGGGCAGCTCGGATGCTGGCCTTAGTGCTAAGTTGTGGAGCCTGGAACCCAACTACACTTTTGTGTCAAGGGAGCTGCAAAGTACAGCTGATCTGCAAAGTGGGGCAGGCAGGACTGGCGGTTTTTTTTATTGTCCCCATGGAGATGAGGAAACAGGCTTAGAGACCACATGATGCAGTGTGAAGAGCTGGGAAGCTCGTGTGTCATGACAGCTGCCCCCTCCACAGACAGGTCCTTGCTTCTCCAAATCCCAAATGTCTACCAGCTTCGTCCTCACTCCCTCATTCAACGCAGGAGAGGAAGTGATGCAGCGGAACTTGAGGGCCTCAGCCAGCCTCCCGCCCAGTACAGGCTCCCCAGCCAGTGAGCTGGTGAAGGAGCAGGAGCACGCTGCAGGGAGAGTGCTGCGCCGGGTCATGCTGGATAGCGAAACCCCACGAGAGGAACTTCCAGCAGCAGACTTTTGGAAATGAAATGGTGACATTCCCATTGTGAACGTATTTCTCACTGTCTCATATATTTAAATTCCTGGTTGTTCCATTCAAAAGTTCTTCAGTTCATTTCCAGCAAGCTTCAGTGGCAAGGGAATTCTAATTTGGCCTGGGGGAAAGCCACTTTTCCCCTCCTGTATTCCAGCTGCCCTGTCAGATCCTCCACTTCCTCGCTGGCAAAATGGGGATACAGCACCTCCCTTCCAAGTTTCCCCACCTTTGGATCAAATAGGCTCCATTCGCCAAGGTTTCAAGTCGATGGGTTTGGAGTTCTTCTTAGAAGCCAGGTGGAAAGGTGGACTTGCTGGAGGGGACCTCACTTTAGGCTGCTCTCTGTTCTCTCCCAAAGCTGGCTCAGGCTGGACCTGGGGCAAGTGTTTGGCAGAGGCTCTGTGACAACCCACAGGAGCAGGACAGGATCCTCTCGGGCTTTAGACAGCATCTCCCTGGTTCCTCTTTTGCTGTGGGTGAAAGTCTCAGAAAGCATGCAGGTGACCCGATTGTCTTGACTCTCTCTTTAACATGGACACTCAGATGTCCATGACCCATAAGGCCTACCTGCTTCACTGCTGGAAGACCCCCGATCCAGGGACCCTCTCCCCTCAGAATACATCTCCTCATATCCAAAAACTGCATCCAGGGGGGCGTGCTGCCCAGGGCAGGACCTCCATCCCTTAGAGGCCAGCTTGTCAGAGCAACATGGCCCCTGCCATGTTCACTCTCACACACGTGCACAGGCATACATGCGCGCACACATGCATACAGGCACATCACACTCCCACACATGCAGTCACACTCCCACCCACACACCACACACTCAGACATGTGCACACACACACACGTGTACACGAGACCCATGGATCTCCTCCTCCCCAGCTAGGCCAATGATGGAACCCAAGAATAGGTCCAGACTGGAGATTGAGCCCTGAGGTCCCTCACCGTAGACCTCCTTTGGGGGCAGCCCATTTAATAAGCACCTACTGTGTACCAGGTGTTGTGCTGGGAGCGAGTTACAGAATGAGGGAGACATGGTCCCCGCCCTCTGGGAGCTCCTGGGGTACTGGGTGGACACGGCCAGAGTGGTCTCCTTTGGATTGGCAGTAGCAGGTACCCACAAAGGCCACCTCCTTCCCCACACCTGGGCGCCTACCCACCCACAGGTGACAGCTTGCCATAGGGAGGGGTGCCACTGAGCACATTCTGGGGCTACTCAACAACATCCAGTTATTCCAAGAGCACTCATCGAGCACCTACTGGGCACCAGGACCTGTGCTGGCAATTCTCAGGACGAAGAGGGCTCTTACATGGTCCCTGGCTTAGAGGAGCTCCCAGCCTGATGGGGGAAGCATACACTGAACCAGGCTGTGGGGACCCAGGGAGAGAGCTACCCCAGCCTGGAAGGCTTCCAGGAGGAGGGGCCATCTGAGCTAGGTTCTGAAGGGCAAGTGGGAAGGAGGAGGGGCCAGCAGGAACAAAGGCCCTGGGGGGGCAGACATCCACAGAGTACTGCAAAGTTGGAGGTGAAGTGCTGAGGGGCAAGGAAAAGCAGGAGTGTCCATGGCCCTTCCATGCCCTGCAGCTATCTGGAAGCTGTGAGGAGCGTGGACTTGGTCCCAGAGTCACGGTGGGCGTGGCCACCTGGGTTCCCCACTAGCAAGAAGCCCTCTCCTCTCTGCACCCCTTTTCTTCTCGTGGTCACCAGGGCATCTCACTTTCCTGGTCTTCTACTCACTGCTCTGTCGCCTTTGTGGGTCCCTCCTATTCCCCAGATCTCAGGGCCCAGTCCTTCGGCCTCTTCTCCATTCATTCCCTAGATGATTTCAGCCAGTCTGGTGGCTTTAAAGACCCTCTAAATGGCAACAACTCCCATGGTATGTCTGTAGTTCAGACCTGCCTACTTGATGTCTTTACTGGATATCAAATCAGCATCTCAAATTTAACTCGCCAGAACAGAGCTCTTCCTGCAGCTTGCCTCACCTCCACAAACGGCATCTCTGTCCTTCCGTGTCTGTTCACTACTGTACCCCTAGTGCCAGAACAACCCCTGGCATAAAAGGGGTGCTCAGCAAACACGAGTGGATGGATGGAAAGAAGGAAGTCTATGGAGGCTCAAAGTGAGATGGTCTTTGTGGCACTGGAGGGCTGACATGGGAGGCAGGAAACCAAGGGCATGGCTGAATTCCAGAAACCAGATGCCAGGTTCTGCGGCTCCGCAGGCACCCTGGGAATAGAGAGAACACAACCTCTGCCTTTCAGCACCCACCCTCGTTGGTCTGATCTTTTACATCCAACCCCCAGCCCCAACTCCAAGCCCCCAGTGCTTGTACCCAGTGAGCCCAGGGCTGGGCAGAGCAACGCTCATCCGCCTGTAACCCCACCCTGCCCAGCCACTCTGCTCAAGTCCAGGGGAGCCCCATGGCCTGAACCCCAAGAGGCCCAGCTCCCCTCAGTTCAGGGTCAGAGCCCTCTGAGGGACCCCAGGTATGTTCTGGGCTCAATCTCCTGGAGTCTGTGGAATCTGGGAACACAGCCCACCACTTCATGGGACAGCCGAGACTGGGGCGGGGGATTCCTCAGGTCACCAGGGAGCCAGACTGAGCAGCCTTCTTACCCCCGCTAGAGCCCTGCTCTGGCCTAGCGCGTTAGTGGCTATGCTGCTGCTGGTGTCAGCGACTTGCCTTAAGTTTCTTTCCTGGCTCTGGGGCAGGGGGCAGTGGGGATGCCCAGCAGGGAGGCAGGTGTGGGGTCCTGTCTCAGGCCTGGTCCTACCTCTGGCCCCCCAGGCCGGCCGACCCCTAGAATCAAGTGCCTGTGGACAGCGATGACTCCAGCAGGAAAGCTGTGGTCTGGCCCCCGACTCCGGCACCTCTCAGTGATGGGCCGAAGCCCTATTTTGTGGAAGGACTGGCATGATGCTCCCTTTTCTCCTCCTCATTTCAGTATCTTTCCACTGGCTCATGTAGAGCTCTGGCCTGGCCCCAGGCAGTGATGAAAATGCTTAGTGAACAAGAACCAGTTCTTTGCTCAGAGATCTGCCCCTGAGGAAGGCCAAACTAACCTGCACCAGGGCCATTTGTGTTGTGAAGGCAACTGCCAGGCTGCCGAGGGGCCCCAGGCTGAGGGGTAGCACAGCACACAGCAGGCGCTCTTCCCAGGCTGGGCCCCGTGACCTGCCTTCCTCCAGCTAGGCACCCTGATCCCATGGCTCTCGTCTGTGCCTGACTCCTGCTCCAAGGAGCACAGGTATCGGATGGATATCCCATCCACCCAACCTCCTTTCCCCAGCCCTGGGTCAGCACCATTGATACAGGTTAGTCGCAGCCTCAGTCTCTTCATCTCTCCAATGGAGATGCTTTTCCAATAGTTCAAAGGTGTCTGTACTCAGCAAAAGCCTAGGAAACCTTGTTCCAAGGTGAAGAGGGAAGGACCAGATGGAATCTCCTAGATCCTCCCAGCTACTCCCCAACACACCCATTTGGACTCTCCCCACGAGTAACATCACTTGTAGCGAACACATGCTGCTCTTAGTCCGTGCACGGCACTGTTCTAAGCACTTCACGGTGCTAACCTCCTCACAGCCTATGAGGCAGCCAACCCGCCATCCCCCATTTTGCAGATGAGAGAACTGAGAACAGAAGTATCAACTAATTTGCCCAAGGCCACACAGCAAGTTGCAGCAAACAAGATTTAAACCTGGGAATTTGCTATCTGGTCCCCTAAGGGCTTTATAAACATGGGCTGAGCCTGCCCTTTGCTTGGACCCTCTGTCTCCCACCCACCCACCACGGCATCCGCTCCTGCTACAAGCCTAGAATGAGGTCCCCAGAGCTCCAGGGAAGTACAAAGTTCTTTCTAGTCGTGCAAGTCAGCATCCATAGCAGCTTACCTCACCCTAGCCCTCAGCATTTCTTGCCTAAATGTCGTCTGGGAATGCCTCTCTCCATATCTTGCCAGCCCCACCTGATTCATCTCCCAGGAGACCACCAGCATACACTTTCCAAAATTTAAGTAGACTGCACTACTCTCAAAACCCTTCAAGGGCTCCCAGTACACCTTGGAGGTTTAGGAAAAAAAAAAATCAACCTCCCTGTGCCAACAGTCGCCAACAGCAGGCACTTGAGGCTGGGGGCCTGGGGTGAAGCCAGTCCCACCCGAGGGGAGAAAGCAGGGAGTGGCTGTGGCCCTCCTGGCCGATAGCGACTCCCCATAGAAAACAGAGGGCACCAGGAGGAACCTTTTTCTACTTCCAGAAAAATAAAAGACATTCCAGCGGACCAAAATGTGTTTGCAAGACAAGAAATGGAAAATGGCTTTTAGACGGCCCCCAAATATTTAAAGTGAGATGGATACCTTCCCTCCCAACCCACCTTCCGCCAAGGCCATCGCGACTCCACAAGAACACAGAATTTGCAGGCCCAGGAAAAGAAGGCAGACGCCTCAAACACAAAACATCTTGTTATGCACCAGGAACAAAAACTGTGCCCAAGAAGTCACCTTGCATTTTGTAATCAGTGTAATAAACTCCAACCCACATTCCCCAAACATGTCAGGAAGGGCTGCGGAAAAAAGATGTCCCTTTAATAAAACGTTATCAACATATATCGTACACAAACTACAATGTATCATAATTACTTTTTTTTCCTCTCTTAATTCAGAACCAGACTACAAGGTAAGAAAAAACACAGAAACAGCTACAATGTTCCCAATAATCCGCACAAAGTCTTTTTTCAGGCAGATGATATCTCACATAATATGATATACATGGATCAGAAAGGGAGGGAGTAAAACAAAGACCAGCTACAGGGGAGGGAGGAAGGAGAAGGGCATGTCAATGTACAAAGAATTCGGGTGTCTTCCAGGGCAAGACACAAAGGTTTCCGTGGGGTGATGAGGTGAGTGGGGCCATGAGCACCCTCCCGGGAGGGGACAGGCTCCACTGTCGGGCTTGTTGGTTTTTGAAAGTAAAAACAGGACTGGAGCCAGCACGTCTGTTTGGTTGTCGGTGTCCCCCCACCCCCCACAGCTGCTCCAAAGTCTTTCCATCCAGTCCCAAGCATATACAGAGCAATTCTGATCAGTATCCCATCTTTGAGAAAGGACGAATAAAGAGAAAAAACAAAGAAAACCGGAACTCCAGCCCCCCAAGCCGGTGCACACGATGACGCTGATGCGAGGATCTCGGGACCAGAACGCGGAGGTCACTGTTTCCATGTCCCAGGTCATAGCCATCCTGTCAGTGGCAGCCTCTCCCACTCTGCGCCAGGCCACCACCCAGCTGGCAGGATTCTCACTGGGAAGACTGGGGTGGGGGCAGAGGAGGGGCTGGAGAGGCAGGGAGGCCAGGACGGAAGGGAGGTCCAGGAGAGGAGGAGGGTGTCCTGGGAACAGTGCATGCCACCGGGTCACGGTGACGGTCTGGGCTGTGGTGGAATCCTGAAAGGGGTCAGTGGTCCGGCCCCTCTGGCCACAGGATGAGGGTGCTGGGTTCTGGGGTCCAAGCGTGCCGCTGCTGTTGCCATGGAAATCAAGCTAGAACAAACGCGTCCCCACTCCTCCCCTGCCTGTTGCACAAACCAAAACCCCAAGTGGAAAACGGTGACTGCCTTTTCTTCTTTCCAAAAAAGGCCTTTTGAAAGAAACCAACGATTGTAAACTGTCCAGTTTATTATTATTATTTTTGATGGCTACAGACAATGTGGGCTCTCACACCTAGACTAGCTTTTCTGGTGGAAGGGCTTGGGCACAGACAGACAGCAGGGCTTCTGGTTTTCCTTTTTTTTTTTTCCTTTTTCCTTTTTTTTTTTTTTTAAGAAGAAAGCATAGAGGTTGATTGGGGTGGGGGGCTTGCTAGAAGCTTCCATTTAAAAAAATTTTCCCCCAAAAAACCCCCCTGAAAACAAATAAAAAAATCCCAACAATGGTAAAACCCCAAACAAAAAACAACAAAAAAGTGTCATGTACAGAAAAGGTCCTTTGGGGAAAGGGCAAGGGGTGGGATTTTTCTGGTCACTGACTTGAAATACATTTTTGAGAGTTTTGTCCTTCTTGTTTTATGGAATAAAAAGTTTGGCCTTTTTATTGCATGAAACTAAAATTGGGAAAGGTAGGGGGCGTGGATGGGGTGGGAGGGGGTTGAGGGGAGCAGGGAGATGCCCTCCCCACCAGCTCCTGGATAATGACACCTCACTTCTTGCATAATTTCTGGCATCTTCCCGCCTGCAATGCCTGCTCTCTCAGCGTCTCGGAGAAGGGGGGATCACACACTCATCGTCATGCTTGGAGAATACTGGAAAGGAGAAGCAGAGAAGGGGGGGGGGTGAGGATTGTGGGGAGGCCGCTGACACACCCAGGTGCCAAGAGCCTGGGGTGACTGCACAGAACTGAGCAGGGCTCATTTGGGGATGTGGTTGAGCTGAGGGGCACATGGTGGCATGGAGTGGGCAGGGGGCCGGTAGGGCAGGATAAGGGCCAGGAGGCGGGAGCTAAGAGCCACTTCTCAGTGCCAGCCTGCCCTTCTGTTGGGAACTAAGGCAGCTGACGGCGCCTCCCCTGCTCCTGCCCCTGTCTGAGTCATCCTCTCCTCTCCAATGGCAGTCACAGCCCCTGCCCCTTGCCCAGTGCAGGCCTCCAGACTGCAGGGAACTGGGCTTTGATGAGCCAGAGCACAGCCAGGGTGCCCTGGGGTGGGGCCAGTCTGGGATTCTTTTCTGTTTTTCTTTTTGAGACAAGGTCTCACTCTGTCACTCAGGCTGGAGTGCAGTGGTGCGATCAAGGCTTACAGCAGCCTCAACCTCCTGGGCTCAAGCAATCCTCCCACCTTAGCCTCCCAAGTAGCTGGGACTATAGGCATGCGACACTACACCCGGCTAATTTTTGTATTTTTATGTAGAGATGAGGTTTCACCATGTTGCCCAGGCTGGCAGTCTGGGGTTCTTGAAAGCTGCTTAATCATAACACTGTTTCTTCAAATGAGAATGCACACAGAAGCCCACTATAGAAAAGCAGACAGCCAACCCGTGTTGAGAGCCCTGAAAATCGTTGGCTGCACGAACCTTTCCCCACTGGACAGATGGAAATGGACCCGTGGGGCAATACTGCCCCAACTCTCTCAGCCCAGGGCTCTCCCGGCCGTATCAGCTTAATCAGTGCCAGAGGCATCCAGCCTGCATGGAGCTGCCTCCAGAAGGCCCCACCAGCAGGCAGTCTCAGGGCAGCGTCAAGGCTGCACACTTCTGCTAAAAAAATAACTGAGGTGGAAAAACCATAACACGGCCACCAGCTTAGCTGGCAGGCTGCAGCCCGGCTCCGTAGCTCGCAACTTGTTAGGAAAGAGTCCCCAGGCCGTGGGGACGAGAGCAACAGGCAGGGGGCGAGGCTTACATTGTCGTTCTGAAAGGAGTGGAGGAAGTTCCCTCCTAGCTCGCCGTCATCTCGAGGGGTGCCTGGAGGATTGCTAATGCCACTTATGTTGTTAGGAGAATTCTGTGGAAAGAGGAGAGGAGGTGAGCACCTGTGTCCCCAACAACCTGCCCACACAGATGGGGCGCCGCCAGGGAGACCGAGTGCACACTCACTTTTGGAAGTCCGTCTATGTCGCCTGACCCTGGAAAGAAAAAATAATCCAATTCAGTTTCTTGCTTGCTCTTCCACGGAGGGGTCTCCCCTCGTCCTGGGCTCCTCGGGCCTCTAAGCCCTTCCATCCCAGTCCCACACTGTGCGGAGGGCTTTCTGTGCGGCATCCCTCTCAGGATCGTCCTGTGTGCCCAGCCAAGGCCGGCCAGGGCTCTGTACCAAGCCCAGCTGAGCCAGGAGCTGAGGCACAGAGCTGGCTGCCCAGGCAGGGTGGGGCATGGCGAGGGCAGGGGCCACTCACCTAATGATCCATTCATGTGGTGTGGCTCCATGCCACCCATGCCGCCCATCGGACCGTCCGAGCCGGGACCCATCGGGAACTGGGGAAGAAGCACAGGGCATGGCAGCTCAGCGGGCCCTGGCCCTCTGCACCCCTCACAGGCAGGGGGCTGCAGCCACGCTTGAGTCCTGGCCCTGGGGAACCCCTGCTCCGGCAGGCTCTGCTCACACTCGGACATGTCCTGCCTGGCAGCTGGGCCAGGGTCCTCACCTCGGCCCTCTAAGCTGCAGGGCAGAGGTGCTCATTCCAATGACCCAGGTGAGGGAGAGGGACTGGCCCACTGCCACCCAACTCCACACAGAGGCACCTCTGAAACTGAGCCTCTCGGATCCCACCACAGGGCCCTCTCCATCCCCCGTGTGGAGAGTGTGGTTCCCCAGACAGAGGCACATGTGGACAGCTCTCCGACCATGTCAGGCCAGGGACCAAAACATCTGTGCTTCTCATCCCCACTTCACAGGTGAGGAAACAGAAGCAGTGAGAGGAAACGCTTTGCTTGAGGTCCCAGAGGCTGGAGGTGGAGGAGCTGGGACTGGAACCTGGCAGCAGGCCTGGAGCTGTCATGCTGGCCCTCTCCCAAGTTAACAAAAGGAAGAAATTAGAAATGAAGATGTTTCCTGGGGCTGGGCGGTGAGAAGAGGTGGGGTTTGATGAGTGGTGGGGAAGAGAGAGCTAGGGCACTGGCCCTGGAGGCACTGCATGGCACCCTGGGACTGTGGGGTGGTGGCAGGAGGTCACTGATGAGGCTCCCATGCAGAACTGTTGGTGTGGCAGATGAGGGCTTGGAGATAAGAGTCGATTCTACCCACCCACAAGCCTATCTGGAACTATCAAACCCTTCTCGGAAAGGAAGACCAGAAAGGTCACATCCCACAGCCACGAGTCACGGGGCTGGGGAGGGGCGGCTGAGCCCAGCCTGGAGCGCCAAGGCCCTGTGATGCAGACTGCATCTGCATCGAGTGGGAAGGGAGTGGAGGTGGTGGAATGGAGGGCTGTTTGGCACCTGGCCGGGACTGGGTGCCACAGACGCAGAGCTGAGTCACACCTGAGCCCCAGCCCAGAGGAGCAGCTCACGGATACCCAACTACCCCACAGGAGGACAGAGATGCTGACTTCCAAAGACAGCTGCAAAGTACAGCTGCGGCTTCAGAGCAAGGCAGAGAAATCAGAACCGGCTGCCTGGAGGAGGAAGAGAGCATCAACAAAATTGAGGGGTAAAATCTGGGCAGGCAGAGCCCATCGCGGAAATCACTCTAAGGCAGGGGTCCCACATGAGCAGAAGGCTACCAAGTGGGTGGCAGCATGGCGTGCCAGAGCACAGAAAGGGGTGTAAGGGGTAAGGCTGTGACCAGGCTGCAGGGGCACAGCTAGGGTATGAGCTGCTTCCCCGTGCCCACCCAGACTGGGGGAGGGGTGGCGCATCCTTGCCTCTCCAGTGGGCCCCCCACCAAAGCAGCTCACAGGCTTTTGGGCACATTTTGCCATCTAGCAACCAATTTCATGCTTATTAACCTAAGTGATAGGAGGATGAAAGTAACCAGCTTTCTAGGGAGCCAACCCAGGACACAGCCATGCCAGACCCCCAAAATCCCCAAACATGATAATACAGATTTATGCACATGTATGTCATTACCTTAACATGAATATGTCGCTACTTTAACATCAATGTATTAAGAAACAAGTATTTCTTCAAAATGACATATTATTGTATACTTTCTGTATATTAAGTTTTATTGAGATATAATTCACAGAGCATATAACTGACCCATTTAAGTACAATTCAGTGGTTTTCAGTATATTTACAGGGTTGTGCAACCATCACCACAACCAATTTTGAACGTTTCCATAACCTCAGAAAGAAATCCTGTACCCGACTGCAGTCATTTCTGTCCTCCTCCAACGCCCCCGGCCCCAGGCAAACACTAATCTACTTTCTGTCCATGGATTTGCCTATCCTGGACATGTCATATACATAGAATCACGTGAGCTTTTGTGGCTGGTTTCTTTCACTTAGCATGTTTTCAAGGTTCATCAGTGTTGTCACATCAATCAGTACTTTATTCCTTCCTATGGTCAAAAAGTAGTCCACCGTATGGATATACCACATTTCATTTATCCATTCATCAGCAGAAGGAACGTTCAGGTTATTTTCACTGTCTGACTATTATGACTAATGACACTGATGTAATGACACTCATGTCTGCCGTGTGGACATACGTTTTCATTTCTCTTGGGCAGATACCTAGGAGGAGAACTGCTGGGTCATAGGGTAACCCAATTACCATATCACAGCAGACATCACTAGGCTGTCTGATCTTTCGAGGAAACGTCAAACTGTTTAACAAAGCAGCTGTGCCATTTTACATTCCCACGAGCAGTGTCTGAGAGTTCCAATGCTTCCACACCCTCGCCAACACCAGTCATTATCTTTTTTACTACAGCCGTCCTAGTGGGTGTGAAGTGCCATCTCACTGTGGTTTTGATTTGCATTTCCTAATGACTAACGATGCTGAGCATCTTCTCATGTGCTTACTGGCTATTTGTAATTTTTGGAGAAATGTCCATTTAGATCCTTGTCCCATTTTTAAATTGGGTTATTACTGAGTTTTTCTAAGAGTTCTTTATGTATTTTGAATTCAAGTCCCTTATCAGACACATGATTTATTTTCTCCATTCTGTGGTTTGTCTTTTTACTTCCTTGATGGTGTCCTTTGAAGCACAAATCTTAATCTCCGATGAAGTCCAGTTTGTCTACTTTTTTCTTTTGCTACTTGTGCTTTTGGTCTTGCATCTAAGAAGGCTTTGCTTAACTCAGGTCATGAAGATTTACTCCTGTATTTACTTCAAGTGTTTTGTAGTTTCAGCTCTAACATTTAGATCTATGGTCTACTTTGTTTTATTTTTTATTATTTTTTAATTTATTTTTGAGACGGGTTCTCACTCTGTCGGCCAGGCTGGAGTGCAGTGGCGTGATCTTGGCTCACTGCAACCTCCGCCTCCTGGGTTCAAGCGATTCTCATGCGTCAGCCTCCCAGGTAGCTGGGACTACAGGTGCGCGCCACCACACCTGGCTAATTTTGTATTTTTAGTAGAGACAGGGTTTCACCACATTGGCCAAGCTGGTCTCAAACTCCTGACCTCAAATGATCCACCTGTTTCGGCCTCCCAAAGTGCTAGGATTATAGGTGTGAGCCACCATGCCCGGCCCCCTATGATCTACTTTAACTTTTGTGTACTGCTGTAAGGACACAGTTCAATCTCATTTGTCCACATGTGGATATTCAGTTGTCTCAGCATCATTTATTCTGTATTATTTACTTTTCCATTAGATTAATGCTATTATGTAAACAACAATAGGAACTGTTAACAGCGGCAATTAGTAGCAATTAGGAGGTGGACTAGTTAAATGATTGATATGTATGAGGAAAAATATTAATATTTTTATAACGTTTCTGTCCTCTGATACAGAAATAACTTTTTGCTCGAATACTTAAATTTGATAGGCTATATTACATTAATTATTTTTTAGAGATGAGGTCTTGCTCTGTCACCCAAGCTAGAGTGCACTCAAGTGATCCACCTGCCTCAGCCTCCTGAATAGCTGGGACTACAGGCTCGAGCCACTGCACCTGGCTTATTATTTATGTTTTTTTAAAATAAAACATAGGCCAAGCATGGTGGCTCGCACCTGTAATCCCTTTGGGAGGCTGAGGCAGGAGGATCACCTGAGCCCAGGAGTGCAAAAACAACCTGGGCAACATAGTGAGACCTCATCTCTACATCAACAAATAAATTAGGGGCCCTCTCCCTCTCCCCACGGTCTCCCTCTCTTTCCACGGTCTCCCTCTCATGCGGAGCCGAAGCTGGACTGTACTGCTGCCATCTCAGCTCACTGCAACCTCCCTGCCTGATTCTCCTGCCTCAGCCTGCCGAGTGCCTGCGATTGCAGGCACGCGCCGCCACGCCTGACTGGTTTTGGTGGAGACGGGGTTTCGCTGTGTTGGCCGGGCCGTCTCCAGCCCCTAACCGCGAGTGATCCGCCAGCCTTGGCCTCCCGAGGTGCCGGGATTGCAGACGGAGTCTCGTTCACTCAGTGCTCAACGGTGCCCAGGCTGGAGTGCAGTGGCGTGATCTCGGCTCGCTACAACCTCCACCTCCCAGCCGCCTGCCTTGGCCTCCCAAAGTGCCGAGATTGCAGCCTCTGCCCGGCCGCCACCCGTCTGGGAAGTGAGGAGTGTCTCTGCCTGGCCACCCATCGTCTGGGATGTGAGGAGCCCCTCTGCCTGGCTGCCCACTCTGGAAAGTGAGGAGCGTCTCCGCCCGGCCGCCATCCCATCTAGGAAGTGAGGAGCGCCTCTTCCCGGCCGCCATCACATCTAGGAAGTGAGGAGCGTCTCTGCCCGGCCACCCATCGTCTGAGATGTGGGGAGCGCCTCTGCCCCGCTGCCCCATCTGGGATGTGAGGAGCGCCTCTGCCCGGCCGCGACCCCATCTGGGATGTGAGGAGCGCCTCTGCCCGGCCGCGACCCCGTCTGGGAGGTGAGGAGCGTCTCTGCCCGGCCGCCCCGTCTGAGAAGTGAGGAGCCCCTCTGCCCGGCAGCTGCCCCGTCTGAGAAGTGAGGAGCCTCTCCGCCCGGCAGCCACCCCATCTGGGAAGTGAGGAGCGTCTCCGGCTGGCAGCCACACCGTCTGGGAGGGAGGTGGGGGGTCAGCCCCCCGCCCGGCCAGCCGCCCCGTCCGGGAGGGAGGTGGGGGGGGTAAGCCCCCCGCCCGGCCAGCCGCCCCGTCGGGGAGGGAGGTGGGGGGGTCAGCCCCCTGCCCGGCCAGCCGCCCCGTCCGGGAGGTGAGGGGCGCCTCTGCCCGGCCGCCCCTACTGGGAAGTGAGGAGCCCCTCTGCCCGGCCAGCCGCCCCGTCTGGGAGGGAGGTGGGGGGGTCAGCCCCCCGCCCAGCCAGCTGCCCCGTCCGGGAGGGAGGTGGGGGGGTCAGCCCCCTGCCCGGCCAGCCGCCCTGTCCGGGAGGTGAGGGGCGCCTCTGCCCGGCCACCACCCCGTCTGGGAGGTGTGCCCAACAGCTCACTGAGAACGGGCCAGGATGACAATGGCGGCTTTGTGGAATAGAAAGGCGGGAAAGGTGGGGAAAAGATTGAGAAATCGGATGGTTGCCGTGTCTGTGTAGAAAGTAGACATGGGAGACTTTTCATTTTGTTCTGCACTAAGAAAAATTCTTCTGCCTTGGGATCCTGTTGATCTGTGACCTTACCCCCAACCCTGTGCTCTCTGAAACATGTGCTGTGTCCACTCAGGGTTAAATGGATTAAGGGCGGTGCAAGATGTGCTTTGTTAAACAGATGCTTGAAGGCAGCATGCTCGTTAAGAGTCGTCACCACTCCCTAATCTCAAGTAATCAGGGACACAAACACTGCGGAAGGCCGCAGGGTCCTCTGCCTAGGAAAACCAGAGACCTTTGTTCACTTGTTTATCTGCTGACCTTCCCTCCACTATTGTCCCATGACCCTGCCAAATCCCCCTCTGTGAGAAACACCCAAGAATTATCAATAAAAAAATAAATTAAAAAAAATAAATAAAAATAAAAAATAAAAAATAAATTAGGGGCAACATAGTGAGACCTCATCTCTACAACAACAAATAAAATTAGCCGGGTGTGGTGGCACGTGCCTGTAGTCCCAGCTACTCAGGAAGCTGTGGTGGGAGGAATCCCTTCAGCCCCAGATGCTGAAGCTGCAGTGAGCCATGACTGTGACACTGCCCTCTAGACTGGGTGACAGACACCCTATCTCTAAACAGACAAACAAACAAACATAATAGGATTAATGAAACAAACATTACTAATATTTAAATAAAAAATAACAATGTTTCTTTCTGCCCTAGGATACATTAGAACATTCTGCTCTGCTTTCTTTCCCACTGGTCTCTGAATTGCCTGAAGCCTTTATAGCCTTTAGGACATCCTTTTTATAAAAGAAAAAAAAAAAAAGAGATGGAGTCTGGCTCTGTCATCCAGGCTGGAGTGCAGTGGCATGATCATGGCTCACTGCAGCCTTAAATTCCTAAGCTCAAACAATCCTCCCGCTTCAGCCTCCCGAGTAGCTGACTACAGGCATACACCACTGTACCCAGCTTAGAACACCTTTCTTTTAAATGCACTGGTAAAACGGAATATAGTCAAACTTAAAATCCATTTGACTTGTCACTCTGTTTATTCAAAGCCCATGTTACACTGACTCCTAGTGTCACCTAACACGGTACCACCAAACTAAATATCCTCTCCACACAACCCTTATACACAAAGTACCTCCGGTTTTACTTATAAGCACAGGTTTTGGGACTTGTAGGAATTCACGTCCATCTCTCCAAAGATGTCCATCCATTTTTGTCCAGGGGCTGGCTTTGGAGGACCAGCTGCTTGTCAATCAGGCCTTTGCATCTGTAATTCATCAGATGGGCTATCCCTGTCTAAGATGTCCAGTTTTTTTTTTTTTTTTTTTTTTTTTTGAGACAGAGTCTCACTCTGCTGCCCAGGCTGGAGTGCAATGGCACGATCTCTGCTCACTGCAACCTCCACCTCCCAGGTTCAAGCGATTCTCCTGACTCAGCCTCCTGAGTAGCTGGGACTATAGGCGTGTACCACCATGCCCGGCTGATTTTTTTTTTTTTTTTTTTTTTTTTGAGATGGAGTCTCACTCTGTCACCCAGGCTGGAGCGCAGCGTTGCAATCTCAGCTCACTGCAACCTCCGCCTCCCGGGTTCAAGCAATTCTGCCTCAGCCTCCTGAGTAGCTGGGATTACAGGCACCAGCCACCACGCCTGGCTAATTTTCGTATTTTTAGTAGAGACGGGGTTTCACCATGTTGGTCAGGCTGGAACTCCTGACCTCAAGTGATCCTCTCACCTCGGCCTCCCAACGTGCTCGGATTACAGGCATGAGCCACCGTGCCCGGCCAGATGTCCATCATTTTTTAACACTCCAAAGCACAATGGATGTTATAAATTAAAATTGTTATAAAAAATGATTTTAAAGCACAGAGGTAATCTGAAGTTGCAAAATCCAAGTTGGATTCCAAATATGTTATAGTTTTAATGAAGAAATTGATAAAGTCCTGTTTAACTTGACTGCCTTTTCTGGTGACATTTTTTGAGTTCTCAAGCATTAAATGGGTCATTATTCCTGCTGTATGAGGTTTTGTGGCCCCCTCTCCAATCCAAGTGTGGCTGGCTAGCCCCATCTAGGCTCCTCGGGGCTCCTTAAGGAGCATCAGAGAGTACTGGCAAAACAGTATATACATTTCTATTTTATTTTTAATGTGTTTATGTATTTTTTTTTTCTTTGAAACGGAGTCTCATTCTGTCACCCAGGCTGGAGTGCAGTGGTGTGATCTCGGCTCACTGCAACCTCCACCTCCCAGGCTCAAGCGATTCTCCTGCCTCAGCCTCCCGAGTGGCTGGGACTACAGACATGTACCACCACACCTAGCTAATGTTTGTATTTTTTAGTAGATATGGTGTTTTACTATGTTTGCCAGGCTGGTCTTTAACTCCCGACGGACCCCAAGTGATCTGATCACCTCGGCCTCCTAAAGTGCTGGGATTACAGGTGTGAGTCACCGCGCCCAGCCTATGTATTTTTTATTTTTATTTTTTTGTTGCAGAGATGGTGAGGATGTCTTGCTTTGTTACCCAGGTTGGTCTTGAATTTGTGGCTTTAAGTGATCCTCCCACCTTGGCCTCCCAAAGTGCTCGGGTTACAGGCGTAAGCCAACGTGCCTGGCCTGTATTTTATTGTAATTCCTTTTTCCATTCTCATCTCAATGCATTTCCAAATTAGAGAAGGACATCCTTCTTGTCTCACACTTTAAAAAATAGCAGTTTTCATGGCAAGCCAACATTTTAACATCTTTTCTATGGCCAGCAATGATAGTCATCTTGTGGAAACGTGTCTGAGGCATTCTCCTGTCTATAAAGTCAAAGATCTCATTAAGTGCTTTGGCATGTTTTGAGGAAACCGAAAGGTGACCCAAAACTTTCATTATGAAAGCTGGTATCACAGGTAAGCAAATTACACCCCTTTGTGACAGTGTCGGGTACGAGGTGTGAACATTTAGCAGGTAAGATGTTTTCATTTTCATTGGTAAGAAGCTTATGGACTAAATGAAATTTGCTCAAATTAACTGTGTACTGTCTGCCAAATATGTAGATAAATGAGCAAAGTCTAGGTTGTATTTGGACAAGAGAACAACAATCTCTTACGTCTTCAGTGGCTTCACTAAAATCTTCACAGAAATCGAGAAGACGATCTGAAACTCCAGTTTTCAAATCAACATACCTAAGAGCTAGCGGAAACCTGTAGCCATGACTTCAGGCAGCCCTTGACGCACTCGGAAGCACGAATGCTGGAAGGATCAGACAGGGTCAGCACTACTGTAAAGGGGCAATGCATCTGTTACTGAAAGTCCCTCGTCCTTTGGTTCACACACAGGACTTTTAGTTTGTAACCTCCGAATCAGGAAATGTAACCTTCTTGGTTTGCGGTGCAATCAAGGGAACAAGATGATAATGGCGTCCATTCAAGGAGTGCGCCCAAGCTAATTCTGCGACCACTGTTTTTGACTGAGAACTGCTGTCTCTTTGGAGGTCAAAAAAACCTTGATTTAGAAAGATATGCCTCAGACTTGAGAGACTCAATGTCCAATGTGCCTCCACCTCCCCTTCTCCATATGCCATTTCTCACATTCTTTTCTGCACACCGCGCAGTACATTCTGTTTGGGTTCTTTCCTCCCTAATCCAGTTGTGTGTGTCCTTGCATCTGTCATTAAAGTAACATGGTCATTTAACCTTCTTTCCCAGTGATGCCTGGGTCACGCTGGTGCTGTCATTGTCACCGTTCTCATTTTCATCATCTGAACTCTTAGGAAATACAGTCACAATATTCATGATGTCAAGACTGAAACCAGCACCGTCTAGACAAAAAGCCCAACACTGAATCTGCAGCAGACTCCTAGGCAAGTGCTGCTAACATGCATGACTGCAGCGTGCGGAGTTGCAGCCTGAGTGATGTGATCCATGGTGAATCACAAGTCCTGATGCCAGCATCCACGTCAGGCAACATGGCGACAGTGACCACTCGAGGCAGATCATCCACGCCATTTCCATCCGATGCTACAAATGGTGCTGTCATCCCTCTGTGTGGGTTTCATACTTTCCACCCAACCTTCTGCATCACTGACAAAACCCAGGACTTTCTGTGTCCTGGGATTCCTCAGGATGTGGGGCTTTTTAGTGTTAAAAGCCAGATGGTTGGTCACACCAGTGAGGACCCTGGCAACGGAGGCAGGCCAGAAACCATCCCTCAGAGGGCTGCTGGATGTAGGCAATATCCAGCACAGGGCAGCCCGCGCTCGGGGTTTAACACGTGGGGTGATCCGGGTGTCACCTCAGGAACGGAGCCAACAAAACCAGAGTGCCCCAAAAGGCCCTACCCCCTCAACCAGGCCAAAGCCTCGCACTTTAGGGCCCCAGGCCCACTCTCTGGCTCTACAGTCTGTAGACCTCCTTTTCAGACCCTGAGCTCCTGGAGGGGCAAGGCTGAACAGGTTCACCTGAGGCCTGCATGGAGGAGGAAGGGAAGGAACTAGAATGGAAGGGTTGCCTGTGGAGGGGAAGCAGATCAGGCCCCGACCTCGGGCAACGCCCCCTGGGTGAGGAGACAGGCTGCAGCTGACTAACCAAGTCCCATCCAGTGGGTGCAGGGGACACAGGAGGAAGTGGGGCAAGCAGTAATCAGAAATGGGGAAATGTGAGCTGCAACATCACCCAAGGGCTGCAACTCTGAGAGGCAAAGAAGCTGCCAGGTATTGGGAGTTCCAGAGCTCCTGGCAGCAGCACAGGCAGGCGGGTCCCCCAGCGAGCCCTGTCCCCTTGCTGCTGGCTCCACCCTCAACTCCATAGCCCCAGAAACAGACCCAGGAGGAGAGGGATTGCCCGGGCCACAGCCAGTTTGCTGGGCAGAGACCAGGCCAGACCCCACCTACAGCATGGCGCTTCCCCCACCAGCACGGCAGGAGGTGGCAAGTCCCAGCAGCACAGCGGGCACCCTGGCTCTAACCAGAGGGTGGGCATCGTCCCACCCCTTCCTCTCCCACCCCCTGCCGCCCATGAAATGGGAACTGAGTTGCCCAAGAGTTAATCACTTTTCTGACGGTTTATTTTATTCATCTTTGGTAACAAATGGCTGAAATCAATTAAACTTGCTTTCCCCTCAGCTGATGAAGTTAATTATGATTTGTTATGGTGTCTGATATGTAAATTATTAGAAAGCAGACTTACGTTGGACCGGCTGCCTCCAGGCGGCACTGGATTAATCATTGTGTAGATGTTGTCACTGGAATTTGTTGAATCTGTAGAACAGTGGAAACCCACAAGTCGGGGTGATTAATTCGTTTCTTAATTAAAACAAACTCATGGCACTGGAACTCATTCTTTTGTATTTTATAACCTAAAATTTCCTCTAAGTACCACCATTTTCTGGCTAATTTGTATTTAATGAAGATTCACAAAGTTTTTAATCACAGAAAATTCAACTGTGAAAACCACTCAACCCCAGCAGTGTGGACACGGCACAGGGGGATTACGGGTTCAAATTCTTGTCTCCCCACCCCACACCGAATCTGGTCCCCAGACACTGCCTGGGACAACATGGGGGCAGCAGAACCACCACCTGTGCTCTCCTCCCACCACCTGTGCTCTCCCACCACCCTACAAAGTGGTTTTAATCAAATCAGGGAAAGGGAAACGTGGCAAATTACCCAGAGGCCACCCTGCCAGGCTGATGGGGCAGGAGGGAGAGGCAGGGATGGGGCTGGAAACGCATTCACATATGGAGTGGGTGCATGTGGCCCAGTCGGAATGTAGGTCATGCAGCTCATCAAAATGCAGCAGCAGAAAGAGAGAGCCGGAGTGGGAGCCCAGGATCCCGGCTGCGGCCAGCTCCACCCCTGCAGCTGAGCAGCTTCCCTGCTATGGGGAGCCGAGGAGGGGGCGGGGGAGAGTCCCCTCCATCTCCCCAGTTAGCCAAAAAAGTCTCCAGCTAAAACGTTTCTATCAGGAGCAGGCGCTGTAATTCTTGGGCAGAAATCCAGCTACCTCTCACTTTTTATTTTTGGGGTGGGTAAGGATCGTATGTTGAATTCCTTCTAGCTGGCTGGTATGCTATTCTTAGCTGGGAAAGAAACATAATTGTGATGGGGTGTGTGTGTGTGTGTGTGTGTGTGTGTGTGTGTGTGTGTGCGCGCGCGCGCGTGTGCGTGCGCGCGCGCGCGCAACACATGCCCACGTATGTGCACGCATGCCCTCTTTTGTTTAAAGAAACAGGGAGGGCTGGGTGTGGTGGCTCATGCCTGTAATCCCAGCACTTTGGGAGGCTGAGGCGGGTGGATCACCTGAGGTCAGGAGTTCAAGGCCAGCCTGGGTACATGGTGAAACCCCATCTCTACTAAAAATACAAAAATTAGCCGGGCATGGTGGTGCGTGCCTGTAATCCCAGCTACTTGGGAGGCTGAGACAGGAGAATCGCTTGAGCCTGGGAGGTGGAGATTGCAGTGAGCTGAGATTACGCCATTGCACTCCAGCCTGGGTGACAGCAAGATTCTACCTCAAAAAAGAAAAAAAAAAGGGGGGGGGGGCGGGGGGGAGAAGGGATCTCCTATATAGAGGACCAGAAGCCAGGAGCTACGGAAACTCCAAAGGTAGCATGCCTCAGAATCCTGGTCCCAGGATGGCAGAACCCCAAGGCCCCTTTTTGAGTCATTTGGGGAAATGCCCACCCTGAACAGGGTTCTTCCCAACAAAAGGGATTCAAAGGCAACGAGAATCCCTGTTCCTGGACTGCTCTGCTCAGCCCTGTCCTTTATGGAGCAGCATCAGAGGAGTAGGTTAGTGTCATCAAGGGACCCCCTGCCCTCTAAATGCCCAGTGGAAGATGTGCTGCCCAGGAAGGAGTGGCTGGTAAGCTCTGGCTCTGCAACAGTGCCCCTCCAGGTCTCTCTGGCAACATGCCCCACCCTCCACCACCAGACCCCCCACTTTCCCCTCAAGCGCTCTTACCTGCGGGACTGGGCATAATGGGTGTTCCTGGAGGACCGCCACCACCAGGGGGTCCCTAAAGATGAGACAAAACTGACATCAGACACCCACGGTGGTAACGAACATGGGGAGGGGCCGGCATCCTCCCTCCCTGGTCAGCAGCAACTGCTCGCCCCAGGCCCAGCCGCTATTCATCTTGCTACACCCCCAGCGCTCACTCAAAGTACTCAAGCTTGAGAAGGGGACCTGGATGTCCCCTGTCCCTTTCTTCAGACCAAGCGGCCCCTGTGGGTGTGTGTGCCTGCATTATGTGCTCACAGGCATGCCCACTAGAGAGGCCTGCGGTGGACGCCAAGCAGCCCACTGGTCAGCTCCCCAGAAGGCAATTCCACCCCCAGGTCTGGTTTGGGGATTTCTGGGCCACCTTGGGTCTGTACAGATGACTGAATATTGACAGCAAGTTCTAGCAGTTTGGAACCTCTGCTCAGAAGAATGTGTGAAAGGGAAAGAAACGGGGACCCCAGACCAGTTCTCTTGCACACTCAGTCCCACGTGGCTAGACATGCAATGCCCCAAACCCACACACTTACCACATAGGTACCAGGTGATGAGGAGGAGTATGGAATCTAAAAACAAGATGTCAGGGAGCCCCACGTCAGAGTCACTGAGTGCCCTCAGCTGCCAAACCTCCCTGAGGACACGACCCACTCTTCACAGGAAAGGCATCGCCACCCAGTGAGCTGGCCACCCACTTGGTTCCCCTGGGAGGGCTGGGACGTGGCTGAAGCCCAGTTCTCTCTGCTACATTGAACTGACCCTGAGACCCTGGTCTCTTACTCCCCAGTCCTGGGAGGGAGCCACAGACACAGGGAGGACATAGAAGGCCCTCCGGTTTGAGAGGGCAGGAAACAGCTTTACCCCACATTCCTCTGGCCTTCACCCCACTGTCTGTGTGGAGCACCTTACCCGCACCTTCCAGCCCTGCTGGGGAGGAGATGGGTAGAGGTCTCCACTCTGAACAGTGCTCTCTGAGCCCAGGTTCTCAGCTTACTCCTTAGAGGAGTGGGCTGGCTGGGCAGGCAGGGCAGGGGTGGAGCCCTTGATGACCCCTGCACATTACTCCCAGGCCTCCACCTCCACACGGCCTTCTCCCTAGAAGCATCAGGAGAGTCCTGCTGCATCTCCCACTTCCCGTGACACCTACACCCAGGGACAGTAGCTCCCCTGCACCCAGAACCGCTCCCCTGACAAACACCACCCCACCCGACCCAGGTACTCACTGAGTTAGCACTGTTAGGATTGGGCCAGGGTCTGCCAGCTCCCGGGCCCCTGAGAGAGGGAGAAAGAGATGTGGACAATGAAAAAGGCGCTGTAAACTCCAAGCGGTGGAGGCAGCAGGGGCAGAAGGAAAGGGCTGAAATCACAACAGGAAGTCCTTCCTACAGCCCTGCGGTTTAGAGCCTTCTGGCTCAGGGCAGTAATGGGTAACTTCATGGGTGGAAATCTATGAATTGCTTTAAATTATAGGTAAACTTTACAAAGTATATAAAATTAGATAAAAAATATGTGAAATTCCCTTTGCATGTGCATTTTCCTAGGAAGGGAGTCCACATTCTCACAACAGGGTTAAAAATCACAAATGCACTAGAGAACAGTGGCTACACTGTCCAGAGGTTCAACTCTTGACCCTGCCACTGAAAGCTGTGTGAGCCTGGGCAAGTTACTTCACCTCTCTGTGCCTTGGTGACCTCATCTGTAAGGGGGTTATAATAATAACCGCGTCAGGCCGGGCACGGTGGCTCACACCTGTAATCCTAGCACTGTGGGAGGCTGAGGCGGGCAGATCATTTGAGGTCAGGAGTTCGAGACCACCCTGGCCAACATGGTGAAACCCCGTCTCTACTAAAAATACAAAAATTGGCCAGGCATGTTGGCGGGAGCCTGTAACACCAGCTACTCAGGAGGCTGAGGCAGGAGAATCGCTTGAACCCGGGAGGCGGAGATTGCAGTAAGCCAAGATTGTGCCACTGTACTCCAGCCTGGACAACAGAATGTGACTCTGTCTCAAAAAAAATAAAAATAAAAATAAAAATCATCGCGTCATAGGGTAATCATGAAGATGAGGTGAGCTGATGCACGCAGCATGCCTGAACCGTGCCCGGCACACAGAGGCACTCTATGAGGCTGAGCTCTCATCACCAGGATCATCAATATCCTCACATTACCGATGAGGAGACTGAGGTCCAGAGAGGTACCAGCAATGACCCCTTATCATGAGTCTCCCAGGGTGCTGGCAGAGGGTGGGGGAAGACCTGGACTCTGAGCCACGGGCCGGGTCGTTTTTGCCTTACATGTTAATCCCGGGCATGGCGGGGCCGAGGGAGTTGGGTGGTGGTCTCATGCCGCTGCCGTAATTCTGCAACGATAACCAAGGGTCAGTCTATGAGAAGAAGGGAACCGGAGACAGGAGGAGGGAGGAGAAACAAACAGACAAAACATAGTGAGAGGGTTAGTCTGTGAAAAGGATTGATGAGAAAAAATAATACATTCTTTCAAAAACGGTGGGGCGGGTGGGAACCAAGTCACAGGGACCACAATGACAAGCCAGCACAGAGGGACAGTCACAACATTCAGTGCATTTTCAGGAGCTTTCAAGATGAAGTTCTCAAAAACATGTGGCTATCCAGCAAGCCGCTGCCCTCTCTGGGCTCCCATGATGTCATCCTGTACCTTCCCCCTGGGCTCAGGCGGGTAAGAGGGGATGGACTTGGTCTTGGAACCCATTGAGAGGCTCTGAGGTGAGGAGGCAGGGAGGCGAGGGGTGAGTGTCAATGTGGATGGGAGCAGGCACTCCTGAGAAGCCTGCCCGAGGCTGGTGCAGGCCCAGGCCTGGCACATACAGACACGCCAACCTGCCCCAGGTCCAGGTGGTAGTCCTACCCCACCCATGTGTCAGCATCAGAGGCCCTCCACAGACATGATGCTGGGAAGCCGGAGAAAACTCCATTTCTGCACTCAGGGATCATCACTATGTGTGTGTGAGTTTTTTTTTGTTTTGTTTGTTGAGATAGCGTCTTGCTCTGTTGCCTAGGCTAGAGTGCAGTAGTGCAATCATAACTCACTGCAGCCTTGACCTCCTGGGCTCAAGCAATCCTCCCACCTGAGCCTCTCATGTAGTTGGGACTACAGTCATGCACCACCATGCCCAACTAATTTTCGATGATTTTTTTTTTTTTGGAGATGAAGTCTCACTCTTGTTGCCCAGGCAGGAGAGCAGTGGCATGATCTCGGTTCACTGCAACCTCCACCTCCCAGGTTCAAGCGATTCTCATTACTCAGCCTCCCAAGTAGCTGGGATTATAGGCGCCCACGACCATGTCGGGCTGATATTTGTATTTTTAGTAGAGACGGGGTTTCACCATGTTGGCCAGGCTGGTCTCGAACTCCTTACCTCAGGATCCACCCACCTTGGCCTCCCAAAGTGCTGGGATTACAGGTGTGAGCCACCGCACCCAGCCTGCCCAGCTAATTTTTAAATTTTTTTGTAGAGATGGGGTCTCCCTTCATTGCCCAGGCTGGTCTCGAACTCCTGGGCTCAAGTGATCCTCCCACTTCAGCCTCCGAAAGTATCAGGATTACAGGCGTGAGCCACTGTGCCCAGCCAATGTTTGAGAGAAAAGTCTACACAGAACTCACGAAGTCCCAGCAGTCCAGATTCAGCTCAGGACGGCCCACTGAGGCACAGCGGGGTGGGTCAAGGCACCAGGCCTCGTATCACGCGCATCTCTTCCTATATAACCAGGCCAGTGTTGCTCGTGACCCTCTCTCCAAGTGTCATTTTCCCTGCAGTCATACATGCCTTGCTTCCCTGCTCCCTGCTTGGCAGGCTCCTACTCAGCTCCAAGAGCAGCTCCTCTAGGAAGCCCTCCTGACCCCACCCCTTCGGGCTGACTGCTCCAGCCCTGTTACTCCCACAATGCCTTCTAACCTCCCTCCCCCGCCACCATGCTACACTGGGTCTGATCATGGCCACGTGTCTGTCCATCTCCCATCTCTCCTAGTGGACTCCAAGTGCCCTTTGAAGGTGGGGCTGTGTCTTGATGATCATATACCCCCCACCCCATGCACCCAGTGGCACAGACTGGCACTCACTACGCTGGCACTGAAGCAATCAATGAAAGACCGAAGAAGGGAATGCATGAAGACCAAAGGGAGCCTGGCTGCAGCTTAAGCTCTGCCCTTGTAGGAGAACTTGAAGTAGGTTGCTGGAATTTTGATGGCAAAGGAACAGCCAGCATTCACTGCCCTTTACTGAGTGCATGACACACTTTATGTACAGTCTCTTGTTTGATCTGTGTGAAAACTCCAGGAGGCTGGGATTGTTCCCACTTCAGTCTCCCAGAAAAGGAGACTGAAGGTCTGAGGGAGAAAGTTTTGCCTCAAGTTGCAGTGAGCAAATGGACAGCTAGGATTTAAGCCTGGATCTGCCGGCCCCCCAGATTCTGTATGCTTAGCCAAGAAACTGGCGGGAGGCGGGTGGGAAGGGGGACAGAATGGGAAGATGGAGACCTGGAGCCTGACACACACAGAGCCAATATTGGGCTGATAGTGGGTTCTGCATCCAGGGATCATCTTCCAAATCTCACCACCCTGGGGCCACCTGCTCCGCTTGCTCAGCCACAGAGAGGCTTGGAGTCTGGAAGGATGTCCAGACAGGATGCAGATGATCTCAGGAGCAACACCAGGCTGGCTGACAAAGAGCCAGACCCGGAGCCAGAGAAGGCAGGCCCCGCCTCACCCTGTGGCTGCTCAGGGCATGGGCTTCAAGCAAACAGTGGCAGCCTTGTGGGAATGTGCTGGGGCCAAGCCCACTCTACCACAGGGTGAAGAGCAGAACTCGAGACCTGAGGTCAGAACACAGGAAGGCTGGCCTTGGCTTGGCTGCCTGCTGGTGACTTTGGGCAAATTACCAAATGACAATAGTGCTTATTCCATGCCCACATGTACCACAGACTGTGTGTGCACTGCCTACAATAAATCGTCACAATGACCCCTTTCCTCCACCCACTTTAGAGACCAGAAAACTGAGGTAGAGAGGAAGAATGACCCCACTGTGCAGTTGTGCGTGGCTGAGCTGGGGTGAAGCCCTGCAGCATGGCTCTGGCTTTAGACCCACAATCCCCTCTGCTGTGCTGCCTTGTCTATAAAATGGGGACAAAGAGCCCCATGTGTTTCCAACCTTGCAGGTCTCCAGTGGATCAAATGAAACAATGGTTCTGAAGTGCCCCGTAAGCCCTAGGAGGTGTGCACTGATTTGGGACGTCAGCAGCAGAACAAACACCAAAGCCCTTAATGCTACCGCAGCATTGCAGAAGCTTGGGTCTCAAAGGGCCCTTTCTAATCCCCTCTACAAATCTCAGCCTCATCTCCCCACCTGCTGCTCCAGGACAAGCAGCTTGCCACCTCCCCAGGCCTATTCTCCACTGTGTGTACAGCCCAGCTGACTAGAGAGGTCTTCCAGATGGAGTTCTTTTCCAGGACTGCAGCCGCCTCTCCCATCCAAGAGAAAGGCCTGCATCTCAGAACAAGAGCAGAAGCCTGGTATGTCTCAGCACGGAGTGGGGTGAGAGGAGATGATAAGCAGGTGCTCACTCCATAGAGCCCTCTTGACATGCAGTACGCAGCGCTGAGCTGGGAGGCTCCAAGTGCACTATCCTGCCGCTCCTGACCCTGCCTGGCCTTCAGGAGCCTCTCCAAGAACCGGCATGGCAGCTTCCTAGAGGGAGCTTCTCCACCAGTCCTGCCGCCTATAGAGGCACAGACCCTGGAGAGCCACTTGCACCTCATCATTTCATAGATGACAACTTGAAGGCCCAGAAAGCCAGAGACATGCCCAAGGCCACACAGATGTCAGGAGCGAGTAGCAGGCTGAAATCTGGTTTGCAGCGAAGTTTTCTCACATAGGGCAGGAATGCCCAGAAGTTCAGACTCAGTAGAAACGGGTTCCCTCTTTGGCCAGCTCCTGCCTGCCTGCCTGCAGCACCACGTGGCTGGAGGTGATGACGGTGAAGCTGTACAAGGGTCGGTTACCAACCAGGTATCCCTCTGCCACTGGCACCGCTCTGCAGGGGCAGGGACAGCTGGGCAGAGAGCAGGAGCCTCCAGTGCAGCCGTGGGGCTGGCCACATTCACAGGGGCCACTGTCTCAGCTTTGCACTCCGCCAGGTCCACAGTGAGAAGGGACCGAGCAGCTGTCTGGGGCTGCAGCCTGGAGGCGGTGGCTGCTGCTCCCTCCTGCCACATCCTCAGAAGGGCTTTCTAGGTGCCCACTGTTTAAACCTGGATCTGCTGGCCCCCAGAGTCTGCATTCTTAGCCAAGCATCTTGCAGGAGGCAGGTGGGAAGGGAATACACACAGTGCTGTATTTCCCTTAGGGGATAGCTCTCCTAGTCTTTAGGACTCACCTACCAGAGTGGATTTGAGGCTGTCCCAGCCATTTTCTGGGCAGCAGGGGCCTGGCCATCTCATGCAGGACCACCAGAGAAAGTTCCTCAAGGGGCCCTTTTCCTTCCTCACCAGCTCGGGGTGCTCAGGACCAGGATTAATGACCCACCCATCTCTTTTGGGGGCCTCTGCTCAGTGGCACTGAGCTTGGACTGGCCCTGGATCAGCCCCAGGAGATGGGGGTGGCATAGGATTGTCCCAGGGGCTGTGGATTCTCCTTCATCTGAACTCTCAAATGCAGACAAACCAGGATAATGACCTGATTCTACTCTGTCCTGGCTCCAGCCCCAGCCTGAATACCAGAAACAACAACAAGTCGGTGGCTCTCAGAATTGGCACCCCGGGGTCTGGGAGCCACCGCACTTCTGGTGGGGGCTGGCATTCTCTCTACTAAGTCCAACCAGGAGCCCCTCAGTTTTAGCTTCGTCCTATTAGAATTCACTTTTGAAACACTAGGATAAGACGTTACTACCTGATACTGACATACATAAAACTTTTTAGAAAGAAGAGTTCTAAGTGGAAGTACTATCTCCTTTCTGGCACTGGCACTTTACAAAACCAGAGTAAAATCTGTCTGAAGCACTGATGACAAAGGACAGGGTGATACCTGCGTTGCTGGTTCCTGTGAGACATTTAGGCTGACATGTGACACAGACTCACAAAATGCAATGTCACTCCCTTCGGTTTTGAAATAAAGTAGCCCTATGACCGACCACGCTGTACCTATTCTTTGTTCAGAAAGTTCTGGAGTGGTCACTGGCTAAAAGCAATCTAATTCCCGGCTGTGAATCACATGCCGATGGTCTCCCACCTTTGAGCCTGGTCTCAGCACAGCACTGTGTGTGTTGTGGTGCTTACTTTATGCTGAAGGGGCTGGCCGCCCTTCCTGACAGCCCGGGCTGTGGCAGTAGGCAGGGCTCCCTCCCACAAGCTCAGGGCCTGCGGGAAGGGGAAGGGATCCACAGGACACCATGTGGGGACTTCAAGTAACATTTCACAGCTGCTATTTCGCCCACCCTCCAGTAGCCCCATGAGGCCATCACTTGCTGCCCGTTTTGCAGATGACAGACTGGAGGCCCAGCCAGGCTGAGCTGCTGTCAGGACTGTGCTTTCCAGAACTAAGTTCTGGGCTTGTCCCTGTCCTGTCCACAGGGCATCATCCTCAGGGGAGAGACAGAAATGGCCTAGGGAACAGGGAGAGTCTGCCCTCTCCCTACCCTCCACCTCAGAGTCCCAAACCACCAGGCTCTGCCGGGCCCAAGATGAGCCCGTAGGTGACCACAGACCCTGTAATCCATCCTGCACCATCAACCTTGTCTGGGCCCAGTGCTACATCAATGCCAGGCTTTCCTGACCCCAGTGATGGGCCAGTGCAGACACCCTGGGTTTCTTCAAGGGACGTTTGGCTCTGGGATTTAATACTCACCCTACCCAGAGGAGTATAGGAAACATGGGTGAAGCACTTTAGGGTCTCCACATTGATAAAGTAAAATAAAGAGCAGGAGATATGCTTCCAGAGTTCCTGAGGTTGGCAAGGGTGTGTAACATAAATAAAGACGGGTGAGCCTCTCTCCCTCCCGCTGGAGACACTCCTAGGGTCTAAGGGGAGCTCTACCCCTTGTACACTGCTTGGGTGAGGCCAGGAGAGTCTCACTGCAGGGCCTCAGCCGCTGGGACCCTCACTTCTTTAAAGTGTGCCAAAGAGTGTGCTGGACTACGGGTCAGGGGCAGACATGATGAGACATCCACCACACCCAGAGGAAGTCCTGAACTGCCAGCACACCCTGCTGCTCTCAAATAGCCTGACATCTGTTCCCAGCCTTTAGAATCTCAGTGTTACGATGGTCCTAACAAACTGTTAATGACTTTGCCAGAAAAAGAGAAAGAAGAAGAAATTAAAAGCAATCACCAAACCCAAGCAACTAGAGGTCTTAACATTGGTTTTCAGTCCCTAAAGTTGGAAAACACAAATAGCCTCCTTAGCGGGAGCACCCTGTGGCCAGCATCACATTGAGAACTTGACCTGGCCAGGCACGGTGGCTCACGCCTATAATCCCAGCACTTTGGGAGGCTGAGGTCGGGGGATCACTTGAGCCCAGGAGTTCAAGACCAGTCTGGGCAACATGGCAAGACCCTGTCTCTACTAAAAATACAAAAATTAGCCAGGCGTGGTGGTGGGAGCCTGTAGTCCCAGCTACTTGGGAGACTGAGGATGTGGTGAGCAGAGATGATGCCACTGCACTCCAGCCTGGGTGACAGAGTAAACCCTCAAAAAAATAAAATAAAGAATAAAAAACAATAAAACTTTTTTTATTTTTTAAAAAATTTAAAAAAACTTTTAATAAAAAATATTTTAACTTTTAAAAAATAAAAATAAAATTTGATTCCTGTTAAAAGAAAAAAAAAAAGGGAACTGGACACTGGACCCTGCCCCTTCCAACAGCCCTCCAGGTCAGGCACAGTTCTTATTCCCATTTTACAGATGCAGCCGCTGAGCCTCTGAGGATCCATGGGCTGGGCGGTGGCATTCGATTTTCCCTCCTCAGATTCCATCCTCCTGAGTCACACAGATCCCATGACATCTGACAATCCAAGGCCACTGCTGATTTCTACACCAATAAAATGTGACTGCTGTGTGGCTTAGGCTGTGGGGAGGGAGAGCTGTATCTGACTCAGGAGAGGGGAAGCTCCGCTCCTACTCTGCCCCTTGCCCCCTTCCCTAGGCAGGCAGCCCTGCAGAGGTCAGCTCCAGGCGGCTGCCAGGCAGGAAGGGGCCACTCTGGCAGCTTAAAAGGAGCTAGCAGAAACGCGAACTTTGGAGGATTTGAGGAAGGAACACAACCAGAATATTGGAGCTGCAACTGCTGTGGGCTTGCTTCCTTTTAGGATTATGGGGCTGGCAGAAGACAAGGACCTCCCTAAAATCTTTCAACACCACAGATGTTCCAACCACCACAGAGAAGAAAGCGGTGGCTTGGGCTTGCTGTAAATACAATTCTGGGATGGAGCAGAGGGCTGTGGTTCTGTGGGGCGGATTCTGGGATGGAGCAGAGGGCTGTGGTTCTGTGGGGCGGATTCTGGGATGGAGCAGAGGGCTGTGGTTCTGTGGGGCAGACGCCTCTCCCTACAAAAGGGAGCACGTGTGGGCGGGAATGGGGGGGGGCACTACTCCACCCTCAGGGGACCCAGAAACCAGTGCAGGGGGCCCAGAGCCTGAACACCTGCACGCAACCAAGGGAGTGACCAGTGCAGCAGACTCCAGGCAGAACAGAAAAGAAGGGAAAGAACACCTGAGAACAAGCCCCTTGCCTTATTCAGACTTCCAGCTTCCTTTAGTTAGGGGCTAGAGAATTCCCAAGGTGGAACATCGCGAACGCTCTGCCACGGCTACTATAGGAAACAGAACCACGTGCAAAC